>NC_000020.11:7793607-7945122 GCF_000001405.40 Homo sapiens
TTAAGTGTTAACAGCTTGAATAAGCACCTTCTATCAATACCCATAATGGCAATGACAATGCAGTGTTTTAAGATCACAATTGTTGCTTTTGCATATCAAACATTTTTTATGAATCCCTTAGGTACCTGTTTAGTGAATGTTTTGGCATTTTGGCATGTTTTCCAGGAGGCATGACACATTTTTTTTTTATTTTGTCAAGTAGGCTCTCTGCCCCAGACAATAAAAAGGGCTCAAAATACAAGAAGACAATACTTGATTTTAAATTCTTCTCTTTTGCCAGTTTAGCCCTTCTGTTGAGTCAAACTATATCTGTCTACATCTAAATCTATCCCTATTTTGCTGTCAAAGAAACTAAGGTTCAAAAAATTTATTTCAATTCTCCCAACTTGGATTTGAAAGAGCTGGACTTTGAACCCAAGTCTGCAACTTTTATTTATTTGTTTATTTATTTGATATGGAGTCTTGCTCTGTCACCCAGTCTGGAGGGCAGTGGCACGATCTCGGCTCACTGCAAGTTCCACTTCCCGGGTTCACGCCATTCTCCTGCTTCAGCCTCCAGAGTAGCTGGGACTACAGGCGCCCGCCACCACGCCCAGCTAATTTTTTGTATTTTTAGTAGAGACGAGGTTTCACCGTGTTAGCCAGGATGGTCTCAATCTCCTGAACTCGCAATCTGCCCGCCTCGACCTCTCAAAGTGCTGGGATTACAGGCGTGAGCCACCACGCGTGGCCAGTCTGCAACTTTTAAACAATGTTTTTCTATTATATAAGGAGTTAAGGATAAATTTATTACTAAAGCTATACAACTAATTATTATATTTAGTTTTAATATGTTCTTAATTTTTTAATTATAATTTAAATTATAACAATTCATTCTGTGTTTTTCATATACAGCAGTGACATGGTAAGCAAAATAAAAGTGAGTCAATTTAAAGAAGGATGCTAATCAGTAATTGTATAGATGGCAAAAAAAGCTGGAGGAAGTACACAAAGCACAAGAGTGCTTAGAAAAAACATGCTACACCTTAGGGCTTATCTGTAGATTAAAGGATAATAAATCTGTCTCCTGAAATCATTAAACATTAGAATTAAGAGTAAACAGGAGAAAAATATTTTCCAATTTCCCTGTCACCATTATTTTATAAATAAAACATTGAGGGTTGGAAGTTCATTGACTGCTCAAGTCACATGAATACTTTTGAGAAAAGCTGAGTTTAGAACTCTGTGTTGAATTCCCTGCACAGGCTAGTAGGAGGGTTATTTGACACATAGATTCAGGAGCAGAAGAGTGGACCAAAAATTTCTCTGAAAATATGCCAGCAAAACATTAGCTGTCACTACTGATCTGGAATCCATTCCATTCAGCAGGTATTACACAGATAGATGTCTTATCATGAACTAATCATATTTTTTTTCTTCAGCTAAACTCTATAATGGTTATGAATCCAGTTAAGAACTATCTTCCAATTGAGAACTATCTTCATAGTAGTCACTTCTAAAGCTATTACTCCCCATTCTGTGATCCTGCCATTATGGTCAAAAATATGCTTGCATCTTCTACCAGTTGAGGCCCAAGTCCACATATCTATCCATGTATTTGTTTGTTTTCTTGTAGCTGTTTTGGGTTTTTTTATTGAGACAGAGTCTCACATTGTCAGGTTGGAATGCAGTGGTGCAATATCGGCTCACTGCAGCCTCCACCTCCTGGTCTCAAGTGGTCCTCCCACCTCAGCCTGCCAAGTAGCTGAGACTACAGGTGTGTGCCACCATGCCAGGGTAATTTTTGTATTTTTTTGTAGAGATGAGGTTTCACCATGTTGCCCAGGCTGGTCTGAAACTCCTGAGCTCAAGCAATTCTCCTGCCTTGGCCTCCCAAAGTGCTGGGATTACAGATGTGAGCCATGATGCCCAGCCCTATTCATACATTTGAGAAAGACTTACCAAGTGCCTATTATGAACCAAGCACTGTGTAGGGGTAAAGTGCCTATCTTCTGAGAGCTTATGCTCAAATGAGGGAGACTGGCTATTCACAAATAAATCAATAAATAGATGATAATTGATTTTTATTAGTGCTACAAGAAAAATTAACAGGGAATTATGGTACAGAATGAGAGTAAGGCCGTTTTGTTGAAGCAAAACTTAAGCTGAGCGCTGATAGAAGAGACAAACCACAACAAGATCTGATCAATGAAGAAAAAAATATTCCAGGCAGAGAAGAGAGTAGAGAAACACCTTGTAGCCTAAATAAGTGGGTATGTTTTGAGACTTTAAAACAAGCCTCCTAAATATTTTCAGAAAAAGAATGGTAGCTGAAGATGAGGAGGAGAAAGATCCAGATCACGAGGGCATTTATAGGTCATAAATAGGAGCACAGTTTTTATTCTAAGAACAATGGATTTAAGCAGAGAAGTGACATAACATGAATTTAAGGTTTTAAAAGGTCCTTCTGGCTGTGATGTGGAGTATAAATTGTTGAGGCAAGAGCAGAAACAAATAACCCAATCTTTAGACGATTGCAGAAGTCTGGATAAGACATGATGATGGTTTATATAGACAGGGAGTTCTCAAGATTGAGAAAAATAGATGAGCATGAGGTATATTTTGGAGAGAGAATTGACAGGGCCTGCTGATGAATTGGATGTGGGGGATGACGGAAAGGGAGAAGTCAAGAATGACTCTCAGGCTTCTGGCTTTGGTAACTGGGTCGATGGTAGAGCTGTTTACAGAGATGGAAAAGGTGAGGAGAGCCAGGCTCGAAGGGGAAACTAAGGACTCTGTTTGGCCATACTAAGCTAGAGATGCCTATGAGACATCTAAGTAGAAGTACTAAATTGATAATTGAATGTTTAAGTCTCAGGTTTATAGGAAACACGTGGCCTGAAGACAAAATTGAACACCTGCAGCTTAGAGATGGGTTTAAGCTCTGGAAGACAATGTAGATGATCTTGGTGAAGCTGTCTCCACAGACAAGGCTTGCCATTTGCCTCCAGAGACCAAGAATTTGGATCATTGACTTCTCACCTCTTCCCACACACTTTCTCTTCTGGGTCCTTCCCCTCTACAGAGCTGTGTCTTAGCAAAATTTCCATTTGTCCCTTCAAGCTGACCAGAGAGCAGGAAAGCAGGCATACAGGTCCTTCTCATTCTGAGTGTTTTTAACAGCAGTGGAAAAATCCCAATTCAAGCAACAAGTACAACCACTAAGGGTAGTCTTTAGTAAACACTGGAAGGTTTTTTTCTTACTGTAAACGGAGCTATCCTATGACCCTTTGCTCTAAGTTTGCTTCTGATGCCTAAAGGAAAGATTCTCATTTATCCTTTGTCAATAACGTCATCACCCCGTGAGTGTTCTGAAAGTCATTTATTGGTTGAATCTACATTGACTCAGAATCCCCAAAATTTAGATCTGGAGAAGTCTCCAAAGACTAGTCCAAATTTGCATAAAAATTTTCAAGTTTCATGTTACATGAAAAATAAAAAACCTAAAATGTTTAAGGGGCTGACCAACATGGCAGCTCTATTTATACTTGCTTAAAGCTCTAGGGAGCTACGTGCAAGGTCACTCACTACGGTCACCAGAATGGCCTCTAATTGAAACTGGCCCCTTCCAGAAGTCAAAGACATATTCACAGAGATTTCACAGGAAGAAGACTTCTAAAACAACGTTTTTATCTCACTATCTACTAAGGGGTCTTGTGACTCCAACACGGCAATGCATGTCATAATGTATATAAAAGGCTTTAAAATTTTATGATGCTTTGCATAGTTGGGATCTACATTACGTTCTCCAACATTTTTCTGTTTCTTTGTAATTATTAAATCTATACGTGCTCAGCTAAGAAAGTTTGAAAATGAAGAAAATCATAAAGAAAACAAAATATATTTAATCCCAAAAGGTTTTGATAATCACAGTTTATATTTGATGTATTTCAGACTTATTCTATATATATCGGGATATGTGTGCTTCTGTGTATTTGCCTGTGGAAGTGGTACTTATATATTGTCATGTACATGTATATATGTTTTTGTGTGTGCATATATACAGTTGCCCCTCCAGGAACTTGAGCATTCACAGGAGGTCATGAAACCAATCCCACCTTGATACAAAGGGAAAATTGCATATTATATATGTGTGTATACAGATATGTATTTTCTATCATACAACTTTTCCCTTATATATATATTCTCATTGCTCAATATATATATTGAGTCAACTGTTTTTTATTTTACCATAGACAGCGTGGATGCAGCTGACTTTCTTCACCTTGTGAGTTCCTGGACAAGAAAAGTCTGTGATTTTACTTCTTCCCAAGTAAACTTCAGGAAAAGCTAAAGGTGCCCTGCCAAGTTCCCTTCAGTGGACCAATGTATCCCTCCCTCAGATGTGTCCCACAGTTTCCCTCTTCTCAAAAGAATTGCTCTTTGCTAATGCTTGGGGAGCCAAGCACACATATACACTACACATAGACATACATGCAAGGGCAGATGCATGGGTGTATTCAACCTGCCTCAAAGTGGAACCAACTCTATGGTGCAATTCATGGTCTAGTGTTCCCCATTGGATCAGGCTGAAACTAATGTCTAGCTATGATAACACTTGCTTAGCTTCTTCCCCTGCCATCTCTGACTTTTCTCACTTACCTTCTTCTAAAAGTCCTTCTTCTGATGGGACAACTGGGATATCTTCCACCATGCATCTTATTTCTTAGCAGGCTCATCTGAGCTTATTTACATGGCAACTAGGCAGGTTCCCAAGGGGAATAGTGGAATAGCACAAGATCTCTTGAGTGAGTCATAGACTTGAAAGTTCCACACTATTAATACTGCTGCATTCTATTGGTCAAAAACAATCACAAGGATGGGAGAGTGGGGAAGTGAACCCCAGCTCTTGAATGGAGAAGCTACAATGTAGCATTGCAAAGGCTCTGGATACAGAGAGGGGTAAAAAAAAAATGGAATCATTTGGTCAGGCACAGTCACAGTGGCTCACACCTGTAATCCCAGCACTTTGGGAGGCCAAGGAGGGAGGATCCCTTGAGCCCTGGAATTTGAGACCAGCCTGTGCAACATAATGAGATTCCTATCTCTACGATATTTTTTTTTTTAAAAAGAGAGACCATTTTTTTTTTACCATCAATCTATTACAAACAGGAAGCACTTTAATATGCAGAAGGAACAAGAAGACAAAATGTTTACATTCATGGCTGTAGATAAAAAAGACATGAACTCAAAGCTTAGCTTTGCCAGTTTTCAGATGTTGACCTTGGGAAAGCTACCTAAACTTCTATGACTCAATTTTCTCATCAGTAAAATGTATGGGAAAAGAGTACTCACCTGGTAGCACTGTTGAGAAAATTAAATTATGTAATCTATGTAAGGCTTTTAGCAAAATGCATTGCATGTTATAAGCTCCCAATAAGATTGGTCATGTTAACATTGTAAATAAAGATACAGAGTGTATGTTTAAGCAGGTGAGGAGTGTTCTTTGTTGTAGGATGCACTTACAGAGCACAGGTCGAAACCAGCAATCCCTCACTGGAACTAGCATTGGATGGCCATGATGATTAGTGTTTGCATCACCAAAAACCCTAAACCAAGACCGGGAAAATCTACAAACTCACCTTGGTTCATACTCCTGCCTAGAGAATGACAGAGAGTGTAGAACATACTTGCCTCAGAGGGATGAGAATCCCATCACAGTTTTGATTCTCACTCTCAAGGCTTTAAAATAAAACAATTTACTTTTCTCCTAAGAACTATCATTTTCTGCCAAATAACAGTATTACTATAAACACTTACTTTTCTAAATTTTGTATTCTAGAAATGCTAGGTGCACTAGAGATGTAAAGGGGAACTAATTGAGGTGAACAAGAAAGAACATTAGCCTGTGAGTAAAGGAAACAAGTTTCCCAGGTGTAAGCAAAAAATGTGAGAATGTTCCAGACCACCAAGAAACGATAAACATAGATATATGACAATCAGAGAAAGTGAAAGAACCTGAACTTATTTTGTAAACCAGAGGGGACAAAGGTGAAAGGGACTTAATGGCCCTGATTATATGGTTTCCAAATTTTTTCTTTTCTCCACTTGACAAAATAGTGAAAGCTCGCTTAGTCGCAGACTTTCAGAGGTTAAGCACAAGGAAAAATTTCTTAACAAGCAGGACTCACTTGACACAAGAATGAATGGCCGGTTGAGTTTGTGAAATATGCTCCAGAGATTTCTCAGAAAAGGCATGGGTCTCATGTGTCTTTGGTTTACCAGTTAGATGTAGCCTCACTGTGCAGTGGAAAAACTGGATTCACTAGTTGAAACAGAGATCTTCCAGGCTCTGATTCTGTGGTGCAGACATTGGTCCATGGACACTGGAAAAATTCAATGATGTCTCCTAAAATTGTGCCTCCCAGAAATCACATTTGGGGCCAAGATTGTGACAAGTGCCTAACATTGTCCAGACTGCAAATAAGCTCGTGGATGTTGATCTTTCCAGTGTTACATGTGAACACTACACTGGCTCACAAATCATCTTGGTGAGAATTCTCCAAGTATGAAGCATGGTGCACCTAGACTCCCTAGAAACACTTCACTGTTTAAACACTTAACTATGAAAAACTCTGGATATAAGTCTTTAACTCCCTTCTTTTGTTTGAAGAAATACACACATACACTCTCTTACATACAATACTCCAGTCAGGTTAGTTTTGGCTTTCAAATAACCATGAAACACTTCAAATGAAGATGACCGATCCCTCAAGAAAGTTTTCAGCCCATCTGTTGTCATTGCTTTGACAAAAAATCACCACATCATTTTGTTTTTCTATTTTTTGTTTCATGGCCCTCTTTATCTGTTCATTAATTCCCTGGAAATAAAGGCCTGTCTTTGACATTACAATCACACCTGACTTAGAAAGTTACACATAGCAGATGCTTTCTTTCCATTAACATACTTGCCATCATTTTATTGCTTACTTTTCACCATGTATATTATTTCTCCGGAACAAAATGTATGTAATTAGGCTTAATATGTATCAAGTATGCAGTATCTATTGATATCAGTGATGAACAAAGCAGAATGCAATAGGTTAAGAATTATCTCAAGAACAAAATACTACAACATATAACAAAAACTTGAAACTAGCAATGATATGTTTAAAATTATATTAGGCTCAAATGTTAATTCAAATTACATAACTGCCCTAACATTCATTTACTTGATAAAGACTCTAAGGACTTAATTGGCCACAAGCACAACAGTGATGAAGTTGTTAAAAATGCAAATGTTCACTCAGATTACATTAACGGAAATTTAACTTTCCTAGGCAAAAAGGAAAAATGGCTGCAATGGACTGAATGTTTTTGTCCCCACAAAATTCACATGCTGAAATCCTAATTATCAATGTGATGGTATTAGAAGGTGGGGCACTTGGGGGGTGATTATGTCATGAGGGTAGAGCCCTCATTAATGGGATGGGTGCCCTTATGAGAGAGACCCCAAAGAGCTCTCTCATTCTCTTTCCACTATGTGGGACTATAACAGGAAGTAGTCAGTTTGCAACTTGCAAGGGGGCCCTCGCCAAAACTTGACCATGCTGCCATCCAGATCTTGGGCTTCTAAGAACTCCAGAACTGTGAGAAATAAATTTCTGTTGTTTATAAGCCACATGGTCTATGGTACTTTGTTATAGGAACCTGAACTAAGACAATGTTCCAATGTTTTTTGCATTTATCATAGCACTGCAGAGGAACTGTATCAAATCCTTGGGGCCTGTTTAGAAGGAACATTGAAGGAATCCAATTGAATGGAATCTGGAAAGTATGTCACATGAAAAGTGGGACTGAGGTGAGACATAGTAAATATTCTTAGTAGTCTCAGCTCGTGGCAGCCTCCCCGATCTTCTGGAAAGTCACCACAAGCTTTCATTTACCTGGGAATCTTCACAGTCCTGCCCAGAGTGTGTTTTCTCTCATTCTTTGTTTGTCCAACTCTTTATTTATCCTCCAAATCTTTGTTAGAATATTACTTTCCTGGAGAAATTACCTCAGATCCACACCTAAACTAGTCTCCTACACGTTCACAGCGTATTCCCTAACTTGACCCTCACAAGGCCTGTTCCAATTTAGCATTTAATTATTTTGTGATTCTTTTACATCTTCCTCCATTCCCACTACACTATGTCTTTCATGATATCAGAAACCAACTCCAATTTGTTCAATGCTATATTTTATCAAACACCTAGCAGAGCTCATTAGGGTGGCAGCAAATTACCCATATGAAGAAAGAATCCACTCATGCATAACTGTCTAAGTCAGAGAGATATAAACCTCAAAGGCAAATCTTTTATTACCAGTAAATTAATGAATAGATGAGGAGAGTCATGAAACAAAAATATCAGGTGTAGACTTTAGCAAACTGTCTGAAAAGAGTCCTGGGAAATCAATTATTATTGTATAAGGAAATGAGGAAATTGAACCCGAAAACTTACTGCCTTACCAAGTTCATACAACTAGCAAGTGACAGGGGGTGCATTAGATTCTCAACAACTATTTGGTGAATGAATGAATTCACAAGATAAGTTACCGCTATCAAGACACAGGGTAGACACATGTTCTCAGGATCTCCTGAGAGCTCGTCATGGAACAAATTTTTTTTTAAGTTGTAGAGCATTTCTATGTATAATAATGTTCTTTTGCTTTCAACAAAGTTACTTTTTATAACATCAATATATTAGTCCTAGTTTTATATTTTTGAAACTAAAAAATTGATTCTCTTTTCTCCATGATCTCTTCAATTCATTTCATTCATTCATTGAACCAATATTTATTGATTATACCAAATATCAAATGTTATTTTAAGAACAGAGCACATAAAGACATCAAGTCTGCCTCCAGGGAGCTTACTAAGGAACAAATAGAAAATCATCATGTAAATGTAAAATGACCACAGTGCTATATATTTCATAGGAGAGAAGCTGCGGGAGCTCATAATAGGAGAATTTGACCTCATAAGAGTGAGTAGAAAGATAAAAGGCATACATTTTAAGTAGTCAGACAGAGGAGGAAAATGCATTCTAACAGAAGCAATGGTATGTGCAAGGACCCTGTAGCAGGAAGCACAATGTGTGTGAGGAACTGAGAAAAAGTCCACGTGGCTGAATCAGAGAATGTGAACAGTATGTGGTATTGTGTCCTGAACTGGTGGGTTCTTGGTCTCACTTACTTCAAGAATGAAGCTGCGAACCCTCGCGGTGAGTGTTACAGCTCTTAAGGTGGCGCGTCTGGAGTTTGTTCCTTCTGATGTTCGGATGTGTTCGGAGTTTCTTCCTTCTGGTGGGTTCGTGGTCTAGCTGGCTCAGGCAGGAGTAAAGCTGCAGACCTCGCGGTATTATAGCTCATAAACGCAGTGTGGACCCAAAGCGTGAGCAGTAGCAGGAATTATTGCAAAGAGTGAAAGAACAAAGTTCCCACACTGTGGAAGGGGACCCGAGCGGGTTGCCACTGCTGGCTCGGGCAGCCTGCTTTTATTCTCTTATTGGCCCCACCCACATCCTGCTGATTGGCCCATTTCACAGAGAGCCCAGTGGTCTGTTTTGGCGGTGCTGATTGGTGCGTTTACAATCCCTGAGCTAGACACAAAGGTTCTCCACATCCCCACTAGATTAGCTAGATACAGAGTGTGGACAGGAAGGTTCTCCAAGTCCCCACCAGAGTAGCTAGATACAGAGTGTCAATTGGCGCATTCACAAACCCTGAGCTAGACACAGGGTGCTGACTGGGGTGTTTACAAACCTTGAGCTAGATACAGAGTGCCCATTGGTGTATTTACAATCCCTGAGCTAGACATAAAGGTTCTCTACCGTCCCCACCAGACTCAGAAGCCCAGCTGGCTTCCCCCAGTGGATCCCGCAGGAGAGCTGCAGGTGGAGCTGCCTGCCAGTCCCAGGCTGTGCGCCCGCACTCCTCAGCCCTTGGGTGGTCGATGGGACTGGGTGCGTGGAGCAGGGGGCGGCGCTCGTCGGGGAGGCTCAGGCCGCACAGGAGCCCACGGAGGAGCGGGGGGAGGTTCAGGCATGGCGGGCTGCAGGTCCCGAGCCCTGCCCCACGGGAAGGCAGCTAAGGCCCGGGGAGAAATTGAGCACAGCAGCTGCTGGCCCAGGTGCTAAGCCCCTCACTGCCCGGGCCGGCGGGGTAGCCGGCCGCTCCGAGCGCGGCGTTCGCGGAGGCCACGCCCACCCGGAACTCGCGCTGACCCGCAAGCACCGCGCGCAGCCCTGGTTCCCGCCCGCGCCTTTCCCTCCACACCTCCCCGCAAGCTGAGGGAGCCGGCTCCGGCCTTGGCCAGCCCAGAAAGGGGCTTCCACAAGTGCAGCGGCGGGCTGAAGGGCTCCTCAAGTGCCGCCAAAGTGGGAGCCCAGGCAGACGAGGCGCCGAGAGGGAGCGACGGCCGTGAGGACTGCCAGCACGTTGTCACCTCTCAGTATGAGTTAAGCCTGGAGATATAGGTAGGGTCCAATCCATGAAAGGACTCTTAGGTAACTCCAAAGATGCTAAGAGCAATGAGAACCACAGGGAAGTCTAAAGCTACAAAACAACGTTATCAGATTTACATTTTGTAACATGTTGCTGTGATAGATATTTGGGGAATATAGGGGGCAAAGAGCAGAAATAGAGAGATAACCAGTTGTTGCCGCCAGCAAATATGATGATAGCTTGAATGTAAGGGCATTAGAGAGCAAAGGTGAACTGATTTAATACAGTATTGAAAAGTAAACTAAACACGATTTGTTGACAGTTTGGATGAAAAGGGAAAAAAAGGAAAAGATTTTTACAGGTTGATTGTAAAAATGTAAGCAGTGGTAGAGTCCTCTAGTTTCTTATCCCAATATTCACCTTCTCCCTTTCTTCTTAACAATAGAACCTGAAATTTATTTGATGTGCCAGGAGATCCAGATAAGATCTATGTGTTTCTGTCTCACTTTCAGCTATATATGGTCGTGCATCTTGCTGACGACTGACCAGTAAAATATAAGTGGAAGTGTTGGGGCCTTCTGACATGTTTCCTTTAAAGGATGACATCAAGACCTTATTCTTTTTTTTCTAAACCCTTCTATCTAGAAATAAAATGTGAAATTGTAACTTTAGTAGTCAACTTGGACCATGTCATCCCAGGCCTGCATACCTTTAGCCTTTATTTCCATGAGAAAAATGAAGCTTTTTATGTCTAAATCATCTACAGCCAAGGGAATTTGCTCTAATACACAGGCATAATCCACTAGGTAAATAGGAGTGCCATTGACTGGGAGGGAGAAAGCTAGAGGAGGTCCAGGTAATGAAGAAAAACAGCAAGAGTGAAGCATGGTAAGTTTGAGATGCTTCAAACACAGCCAAGTAGGCAGTCATATAAACAGGTCTAGAATTCCTAAGATATATACGGATTAAGTGTAGAGATTTGGGATTCACTGACATATAGAGGGTACTTATAATCATATAAGAAAATACAGCAGATCTATAAACTTAATGCAAATAAAATCTAGATGCCTTTCCATCAGAAATTGAAAACTGGATCCTCAAATTCATATGAAAATACAAAGATCCCAGCATAGTCAAAGCAGTCTTGAAGAAAAATGTGAGAGTTCCTGATTCTAAACTTAGTACAAAACTACAAAAATAAGATGGCATGATATTGGCATAAAAATAAATATATCAACCAATGGACTAGTATTCAGAGTCCAGAAATAAAATCCTTACATTTGTGGTCAATTGATTTTTGATAGGGGTACAGAAGAAAATTCGTGAATAGAAGTTAGCAAAAAGTAGATCCTAGAACCAAAGATAAGAGCTAAAACTATGAGACCCTTAGAAGAAAATATAGAAGTAAAACTTTTTGACATTGTTAATCAAAAAGACTTAGATATAACACCATAAGCACAAGGAAAAAAAGGAACAAAAACAGATAAATCATACTTCATCAAGGCAAATCACATAGATAATAAAGAACTTGTACTCGGAATATACAGAATCTATGACAACTCAATAATAAAAACACAAAAGATGTGCCTGGCATTTCTCCAAAGAAGGCATACAAATGGCCAATAAGCACATGAAAACGTTACTCATTAGGGAAACACAAATCAAAACCACAATGAGTTACCCCGATTTGATTATTATCCAATATATACATATATCAGAACATCACATTGCCCCCATAATTATGTACAATTTTTATATGCTAATCAAAAATAAAATGTAACTTAAAAAACTTTTTAAACTTTTGTTTTTATTTTTGTGGGTACATTGTGGGCGTATATATTTATGGGGAACATGAGATGTTTTCATACAGCCATGCAATGTGTAATAATCACATCATGTAAAATGGGGTATCAATTCCCTGAAGTATTTATCTTGTGTGTTACAAACAATGCAATTATACTGTTAGTTATTTTTAAATGTACAAATAAATTACAGTTGACTATAGTCACTCTATTGTGCTATCAAATACTAGGTCTTATTCATTCTTTCTAATGATTTTTTTGTACCTGATTAACCATCCCCATCTCCTTCCCCGAACCCCAACCTCTCTCTGCTTTTCCCATTCTCTGGTAACCATCTCTCTGCTCTCCATCTTCATTAGTTCAATTATTTTGATTTTTAGATCCCACAAATAAGTGAGAACATGCGATGTTCGTCTTTCTGTGCCTGGCTTATTTCACTTACCGTAATGAGCTCTAGTTCCATCCATGTTATTGCAAATGACAGGATCTCATTTACTATTATTATTATTTTTATACTTTAAGTTCTGGGATACATGTGCAGAATGTGCAGGCTTGTTACATAGGTGTACACGTGCCATGGTGGTTTGCTGCACCAGTCAATTCATCATCTACATTAGGTATTTCTCCTAATATTATCCCTCCCCTAGCACCCCACCCATGAACAGGTCCCTGAAGGAGATCGGTTAGGGTGGTGGGATAAATTTCAGGAAAGATACAAACCTTCTTGGAAGGCCGGGAGGTTTTGCAAAAGCTTCAGAAGGAAATTATGGCTGAAGGCAGCCAAATTCTCTTATCTGGAGCCTGAGAGCAAAGGCTAGGAATGTAACAAGGGAATGTAAAGGAACTGATCTGGATAAATTTGTTTACTCCTGTCTTCAGAAACCAACCTTTGATCATTTGCATGCAAGACTGCTCTCTACTCAGGGGGTCAACAATGTTAATTACCTACAAATTGTGTTTGTTCCAAGCCTTTGTCATTAAATCTATACTAAATAAAGGTGAACATCGCTGGCTTAAGGGGACTGCTGACTGTCTTCGGCCCCTAGTGCCGGCAGTCCCCTAGCCCACTTTTTCACAGTCACCTGTGTCTGAGTACTACTGTCATCTGTTGCTTGGCCAGAGTCTGTGGGACAGACTTGGCAGCAGGCCCTGGTGTGTGATGTTCCTCTCCCTGTGTCCATGTGATTTCATTGTTCAACTCCCACTTATGAGTCAGAATATGCTGTGTTTGGTTTTCTGTTCCTGTGTTCCTTTGTGGAGAATGATCGTTTCCAGCTTCATCCATGTCCCTGCAAAGGACATCACCTCATCCTTTTTTTATGGCTGCATATTATTCCATGGTGTATGTGTGCCACATTTTCTTTATCCAGTCTATCACTGATGGGCATTTGGGTTGGTTCCAAGTCTTTGCTATTGTGAACAGTGCTGCAATAAACATAGGTGTGCATGTGTCTTTATAG
Source organism: Homo sapiens (assembly GCF_000001405.40). Taxonomy (NCBI): domain Eukaryota; kingdom Metazoa; phylum Chordata; class Mammalia; order Primates; family Hominidae; genus Homo; species Homo sapiens. Next base: position 7,807,337 of record NC_000020.11, read on the forward strand.
TAGAATGATTTATAATCCTTTGGGTATATACCCAGTAATGGGATTGCTGGGTCAAATGATATTTCTAATCCTAGATGCTTGAGGAATTGCCACACTGTCTTCTACAATGGTTGAACTAATTTACACTCCCACCAACAGTGTAAAAGCTTTCCTATTTCTTCACATCCTCTCCAGCATCTGTTGTTTCCTGACTTTTTAATGATTGCCATCCTAACTGGCCTGAGATTGTATCTCATTGTGGTTTTGATTTGCATTTCTCTAATGACCAGTGATGATGAGCTTTTTTCATATATTTGTTAACCACATAAATGTCTTCTTTTGAGAAGTGTCTGTTCATATACTTTGCCCATTTTTGATGGGGTTGTTTGCTTTTTTTTCTTGTAAATTTGTTTAAGTTCTTTGTAGATTCTGGATATTAGCCCATTGTCAGATGGATAGATAGCAAAAATTATCTCCCATTCTGTAGGTTGCCTGTTCACTCTGATGATAGTTCCTTTTGCTGTGCAGAAGCTCTTTAGTTTAATTAGATCCCATTTGTCAATTTTGGCATTTGTTGCCATTGCTTTTGGTGTTTTAGTCATGAGGTCTTTGCCCATGCCTATGTCCTAAATGGTATTGCCTAGGTTTTCTTCTAGGGTTTTTATGGTTTTAGGTCTTACATTTAAGTCTTTAATCCATCTTGAGTTAATTTTTGTATAAGGTGTAAGGAAGGGGTCCAGTTTCAGTTTTCTACATATGGCTGCCAGTTTTCCCAACACCACTTATTAACTAGGGAATCCTTTACCCATTGCTTGTTTTTCTCAGGCTTGCCAAAGATCAGATGGTTGTAGATGTGTGGCATTATTTCTGAGGCCTCTGTTCTTTTCCATTGGTCTATATATCTGTTTTAGTACCAGTACCATGTTGTTTTGGTTACTGTAGCCTTGTAATATAGTTTGAAGTCAGGTAGTGTGATGCCTCCAGCTTTGTTCTCTTTGCTTAGGATTATCTTGGCTATATGGGCTCTTTTTTGGCTCCATATGAAATTTAAAGCAGTTTTTTTCTAATTATGTGAAGAAAGTCAATGGTAGTTTGATAGGGATAGCATTGAATCTGTAAATTACTTTGGGCAGTATGGCCATTTTCACGATATTGATTGTTCCTACCCATGAGCATGGAATGTTTTTCCATTTGTTTGTGTCCTCTCTTATTTCCTTGAGCAGTAGTTTGTAGTTCTCCTTAAAGAGGTCCTTCACATCCCTTGTAAGTTGTATTCCTAGGTATCTTATTCTCTTTGTAGCAATTGTGAATGGGAGTTCACTCATGATTTGGCTTTTTGCCTGTTATTGGTGTATAGGAATGCTTATGATTTTTGCACATTGATTTTGTATCCTGAGACTTTGCTGAAGTTGCTTATTAGCTTAAGGAGATTCTGGCCTGAGACGATGGGGTTTTCTAAATATACAATCATGTCATCTGCAAACAGAGACAACTTGACTTCCTCTCTTCTTATTTGAATATCTTTTATTTCTTTCTCTTTCCTGATTTCCCTGGCCAGAACTTCCAAGACTATGTTGAATAGGAGTGGTGAGAGACAGCATCCTTGTCTTGTGCTGGTTTTCAAAGGGAATGCTTCCAGCTTTTGCCCATTCAGTATGATATTGGCTGTGGGTTTGTCATAAATAGCTCCTATTATTTTGAGATACGTTCCATGAATACCTAGTTTTTTGAGAGTTTTTAGCATGCAGGGGTGCTGAATTTTATTGAAGGCCTTTTCTGCATCTATTGAGATAATCATGTGGTTTTTGTCATTGGTTCTGTTTATATGATGGATTATGTTTATTGATTTGCATATGTTGAACCAGCCTTGCATCCCAGGGATGAAGCTGACTTGATCCAGGTGGATCAGCTTTTTGATATGTTGCTGGATTTGGTTTGCCAGTATTTTGTTGAGGATTTTGGCATCAATGTTCATCAAAGGATATTGATCTGAAATTTTCTGTTTTTGTTGTGTCTTTGCCAGATTTTGGTATCAGGATGATGCTGGCCTCATAAAATGAGTTAGGGAGAAGTACCTCTTTTTCTGTTGTTTGGAATAGTTTTAGAAGGAGTGGTACCAGCTCCTCTTTGTACCTCTGGTAGAATCCAGCTGTGAATCTGTCTGGTCCTGGGCTTTTTTATTTTTATTTTTTTTTGGTTGGTAGGCTATTAATTACTGCCTCAATTTCAGAACTTGTTATTGTTCTATTCAGGGATTTGACTTCTTCCTGATTTAGTCTTGGGAGTGTGTATATTTCCAGGAATTTATCTATTTCTTCTAGATTTTCTAGTTTATTTGCATATAGGTGCTTATGTATTCTCTGACGGTAGTTTGTATTTCTGTGGGATCAGTGGTGATAGCCCCTTTATCATTTTTTATTGTGTCTATTAGATTCTTCTCTCTTTTCTTTTTTATTAGTCTGGTTAGTGGTCTATTTTGTTAATCTTTTCAAAAAAACCAGCTCCAGGATTCATTGATTTTTTTGAAGGGTTTTTCATGTCTCTCCTTCAGTTCCACTATGATCTTAGTTATTTCTTGTCTTCTGCTAGCTGTTGAATTTGTTTGCTCTTGCTTCTCTAGTTATTTTAATTGTGATGTTAGGGTGTCAATTTTAGATCTTTCCTGCTTTCTCCTGTGGGCATTTAGTGCTATAAATTTCCCTCTAAACACTGCTTTAGCTGTGTCCCAGAAATTCTGGTACATTGTATCTTTGTTCTCATTGGTTTCAAAGAACTTCTTTATTTCTTCCTTAATTTCATTATTTACCCAGTAGTCATTCAGGAGCAGTTTGTTCAGTTTCCATGTAGTTGTGCTGTGAGATTTTTAATTCTGAGTTGTAATTTGATTGCACTGTGGTCTGAGAGACTGTTTGTTATGGTTTCCATTCTTTTGCATTTGCTGAGGAGTGTTTTCTTTCCAATCATGTGGTCGATTTTAAAATAAGTGCAACATGGTGCTGAGAAGAATGTATATTCTGTTGACTTGGTGGGGAGAGTTCTGTAGATGTCTATTAGGTCTGCTTGGTCTATAGCTGAGTTGAAGTCCTGAATATCCTTAATTTTCTGTCTCATTGATCTGTCTAATATTGACAGTGGGGTGTTAAAGTCTCCCATTATTATTGTGTGGGAATCTAAGTCTCTTTGTAGGTCTCTAAGAATTTGCTTTATGAATCTGGATGCTCCTGTATTGAGGGCATATATATTTAGGATAGCTATCTCTTCTTGTTGCATTGATCCCTTTACCATTACATAATGTCCTTCGTTGTCTCCTTTTATCTTTGTTGGTTTAAAGTCTGTTTTATTAGAGACCAGGATTGCAACACCTGATTTTTTTTTCTTTCCATTTGCTTAGTAAATATTCCTCCATCCTTTTTTTTTTTTTTTTTTTTTGGAGATGAAGTCTCGCTGTGTTGCCCAGGTTGGAGTGCAGTGGCATGATCTCGGCTCACTGCAAGCTCCACCTCCCAGGTTCATACCATTCTCCTGCCTCAGCCTCCTGAGTAGCTGGGACTACAGGCACCCGCCACCATGCCTGGCTAATTTTTTCTATTTTTTAGTAGAAACGGGGTTTCACCATGTTAGCCAGGACGGTCTGGATCTCTTGACCTCATGATCTGCCCACCTCAGCCTCCCAAAGTGCTGGGATTACAGGTGTGAACCACACTTCATCCCTTTATTTTGAGCCTATGTGTGTCTTTGCAGGTGAGATGGTCTCCTGAATACAGCACAGTGATGGGTCTTGACTCTTTATGAAATTTACCAGTCTGTGTCATTTAATTGGGGCATTTAACGCATTTACATTTAGGGTTAATATTGTTATGTGTGAATTTGATCCTGTCATGATTCTAGCTGTTTATTTTGCCTGTTAGTTGATGCAGTTTCTTCATAGTGTCGATGAGGTTTACAAATTTGGTATGTTTTTGTAGTGGCTGGTAATGGTTTTTCCTTTTCATACTTACTACTTCCTTCAGGAGCTCTTGTAAGGCAGGCCTGATGGAGACAAAATCTCTCAGCATTTGCTTGTCTATAAAGGAGTTTATTTCTCCTTCGCTTATGAACTTTAGTTTGACTGGATACGAAATTCTTGGTTGAAAATTCTTTGCTTTAAGAATGTTGAATATTGGCCCCCACTCTCTTCTGGCTTGTAGGGTTTCTGCAGAGAGATCCACTGTTAGTCTAATGGGCTTCCCTTTGTGGATAACCCGACCTTTCTCTGTGGCTGCCCTTAACATTTTTTTCTTTCATTTCAACCTTGGTGAATCGACGATTATGTGTCTTGGGGTTGCTTTTCTCAAGGAGTATCTTTGTGGTGTTCTCTGTATTTTCTGAATTTGAATGTTGATCTGTCTTGCTAGGTTGGGGAAGTTCTCCTAGATAATATCCTAAAGAGTGTTTTCCAACTTGGTTCCATTCTCCTCATCACTTTCAGGTACACCAATCAAACATAGGTTTTTGTCTTTTCACATAGTCTCATATTGCTTGGAGGCTTTGTTTGTTCCTTTGCGTTCTTTTTTTCTCTAATCTTGTCTTCATTCTTTATTTCATTAAGTTGATCTTCAATCTCTGATATCCTTTCTTCTGCTTGATCAATTCAGCTATTGATACTTGTGTATGCTTCACAAAGTTCTCATGCTGTGTTTTTCAGCTCCATCAGGTCATTTGTGATCTTCTCTAAACTGGTTATTCTAGTTAGCAACTCATCTAACCTTTTTTCAAGGTTCTTAGCTTCCTTGCATTGGGTTAGAACATGCTCCTTTAGCTAGGAGGAGTTTGTTATTACCCACCTTCTGAGGCCTACTTCTGTCAATTCGTCAAACTATTTTCCATCCAGATTTGTTCCCTTGCGGGCAAGGAGTTGTGATCCTTTGCAGGAGAAGAGGTGTTCTGGTTTTTGGAATTTTCAGCCTTTTTGCACTGGTTTTCCTCATCTTCGTGGATTTATCTACCTTTGGTCTTAGATGTTGGTGAGCTTCTAATGGGGTTTCTGTGGGGATGTCCTTTTTGTTGACGTTGATGCTATTCCTTTCTGTTTGTTAGTTTTCCTTCTAACAGTTAGGCACCTCTGCTGCAGTTCTGCTGGAGTTTGCTGGAGGTCCACTCCAGACTCCCTTTGCCTGGGTATCACCAGCAGAGGCTGCAGAAAAGCAAATGTTGCTGCCTGTTCCTTCCTCTGGAAGCTTTGTCCCAGAGGGACACCTGCCAGATGCCAGCTAGAGCTCTCCTGTATGAGGTGTCTCTCGACCCCTGGTGGGAGGTGTCTCCCAGTCAGGAGGCACGGGGGTCAGGGACCCACTTGAGGAGGCAGTCTGTTCCTTGGCAGAGCTTGACTGCTGTGCTGGGAGATCTGCCATTCTCTTCAGAGCTGGCAGGCAGAAATGTTTAAGTCTGCTGACATTGCACCCACAGCCTCCCCTTCCCCCAAGTGCTCTGTCTCAGGGAGATGGGAGTTTTATCTAAAAGCCCCTGACTGGGGCTGCTGCGTTTCTTTCACAGATGCATTGCGCAGAGAGGAGGAATCTAGAGAGGCAGTCTGGCTACAGTGGCTTTGCTGAACTGTGGTGGGCTCTGCCAAGTTCAAACTTCCTGGCAGCTTTTCATTTTGGTTTTGATTTGTATTATTCTGACAACTAGTGAGGCAGAGCACCTTTTCATATACATGCTTTTCATTTGTATATTTTCTATGGTGGAGTTGTAGTTTCAAATTTATCCAAACAAAAAGTACACAAAAGAAAACAAACACAAATCTCTAGGTCCATTTAGTTTTACTGACAAATTCTGCCAGGCATTTAAGAAAGAAAGAAAGAAAACCAATCTATACATCCTCTTCCAGAAAGTGAAAGTAGAGGATATGCTTTTGAAATCATCCTATGAGGCCAGCATTATCCTAATACCAAAAGCAGATAGAAGCATTACAAGGAAAAACTGCTATAAACGTTTATTGTTCACGAATATAGACACAAACATTCATAACAAGTATTGACAAATAAAATTTAGTAATATATGAAAAGCATAACAAATCACAATTAGTGGAGTTTATCCCAGGAATGTAAGGTGAGTTCATCATTCATCATTCAGTCATTGCAATTTACCATATTAAAATTGGAACATTAGTACATGCAGGAAAAGCCTACAATAAAATCTAACATTATTAATGAAACGTTCACATATATTAACAATAAAAATGCTTTCAAAATACATTCTTATATTCTAATAAGAGATATGTATAAAAAAACCTACAGCTAAAATAAAACTTAGTGGTGAAAAACTAATTGATTTTCTCTTAAGCTCTACAAACTTTGGTCTTTGATGTTGGTGAGCTTTGGATGGGGTTTCTGTGTTTACGTCCTTTTTGTTGATGTTGATGCTATTCCTTTCTGTTTGTTAGTTTTCCTTCTAACAGTTAGGCCCCTCTGCTGCAGGTCTGCTGGAGTTTGCTAGAGGTCCACTCCAAACCCTGTTTGCCTGGGTATTACCAGCAGAGGCTGCAGAACAGCAAACATTGCTGCCTGTTCCTTCCTCTGGAAGCTTCGTCCCAGAGGGGCACCCACCAGATGCCAGCCAGAGCTCTCCTGTATAAGATGTCTGTCGACCCTTGCTGGGAGGCGTCTCCCAGTTAGGAGGCACAGGGGTCAGAGACCCACTTGAGGAGGCAGTCTGTCCCTTAGGAGAGCTCAAGTGCTCTGCTGGGAGATTTGCTTCTCTCTTCAGAGCCGGCAGACAGGAACGTTTAAGTTGGCTGAAGCTGTGCCCACTGTCACCCCTCCCACCAACTGCTTTATCCATCTTTCTGTTGATAGGCACTTAGGTTGCTTCCAAATTTTGGCTATTGTGAGCAGTACTGCAACAAACATGGAAGTGTAGATGTCTTTTAGATATACGGATTTCCTTTCTTTTGTGTATATACCCAGCAGTGGGATTTCAGGATCAAATGGTAGCTCTATTTCTAGTTTTTTGAAGAACTGCCAACCTGCTCTCCATAGTGCTTGTACTAATCTACATTCCCACCATCAGTTTAAGAGAGTTTCTTTTTCTCCACATCCTTTCCAGCAATTGGTATTGCCTGTAAAAACCGCAATGAAAAGCCACTTCATACTCACTAGAATGGCTATAATCAAAATGACAGACAATAACAAGTGTTGGCAGGATGTGGAGAAATTGGAACCCTCATACCTTGTTGGTGGGAGTGTAAAATGATGCAACCAATATTATTTGAAGTCAGTCTGGCAGTCCTTCTAAAGGTTAAACATAGAGTTACCATATGAGCTGGTAATTCCACTCCTAATTGTATACCCAGGGGAAATGAAAACATATGTCCACAAAAAAAAAGTATTCACAAATATTCATCTCGAGCATTATTCATAATAGCCATAAAGTAGAAACAACCCAAATGTCCTTCAATCGATGAATGGTCAATAAAATGTGTTATATCCATATGATCACATATTGCAATTTTATTCAGCAAGAAAAGTAATAAAGTGCTGATACATTCTATAATGTGGTTGAACATTGAAAACATGAAAAATAAAAGAAGTCAGGCATAAAAAATATACAAAAAACTGTATTAAATGATTTTACTTATATGAAAAGTCCAGAATAGGCAAATCTATAGAAACATAAGTAGAGTAGAGCTTGCCTAGAGTTGAGGATTGTGGGTGTAGGAAAGATGGATAGTGATGCTAAATGGATATCGAAGTTTCTTTGTGGGATGATTAAAATGTTCTAAAATTATATAGTGGTGATGGTAGTATAAGTCTGTGAATGTGCTAAAAATCACCAAACTATAAATGTGAAGTTGGTGAATTTCATAGTATGTGAATTAAATCTTATATTTTTTTATTTTATTTTTTTTTTTTTTGAGACTGAGTCTCAGTCACTCAGGCTGGAGTGCAGTGACACGATCTGGGCTCATTGCAACCTCCGCTTCCTGGGTTCACGTGATTTTCCTGCCTCAGCCTCCCAAGTAGCTGGGATTACAGGCATCTGCAGCCACACCCGGCTAATTTTTGTTTTTGAGTAAAGACGGGGTTTCGCCATGTTGACCATGCTGGTCTCGAACTCCTGACCTCAAGTTATCTGCCAGCTTCGGCCTCCCAAAGTGCTGGGATTACACGCATGCACTACTGTGCCTGGCCATGAATTAAATCTTAATAAAGTGTTTAAAAATCAAAAGAAAAGAAGCTGACATTTTTTGTCCATCAGACTGCAAAACCCTACAACCATATCAATGGGCTTATAGTTCCTAAGTGTGTAATTCCTCCCTGCCTGGGCCTAGAAGCTCCCTATCTATCCACATTCTTAGCCAGAGGTTTCCTCTTCTTATCTCATAATACTATTTGCCTAGTTCTCAGAGACCCCAGAGTCTTAACTGTCTCTTTCTGCCTTTCTGTCCCAGAAAATTGTGATCAACTACATAGTAGTGATGGGATTTTATCTCAGGACTTCCAGACATTTAATCCACATTTCTCTTTGAAATATAATTATCTGTTTGTAAAACATTAATACAAAATCAAAACAAATATTTAATTTATACTATAAACTGGATATATTAGAATAATCGTTTGCATTCAAGTTAATTTATTTTACATGAAATTTAAATGCATCTTCTACCTTCTGTCTACAAATATTTAAAATGCTTATAAATGAATCATTAATTAAGACTTGCACTACTCTAGGGCTTCTAAACTGATCTTTGTGTCACCTCTGGCCTATGCATACCTATGTAGTTATAATGTCCAAGTGCATGGACTTCTACCTAAGCACCCCCTCAATCTGGAACTGCATCAAGATCACTTGACTTGTTAAAACACTGATTGCTGGGCCCCACTCTCAGGGATTCTGATTCAGTGTTCTCCAGGTAGAGTGTGAGATTCTGCATTTCTGACTAGTTCGCAGGCAATACTGATATTGCTATACCCAGACCATACTTGAAGATCAAGGGGCTACAGCACTAGCCCCTGTATCTCATACTCAAGCCTCAGTCAAAGCTTACATTTATCACTCAGAGGAAGCTTCTGTCAAAGCAGTTGTTTAATAATAAGTTCACATATAGCAGTCCATCATGTTTTAATAATCGCATATTACTGCATTACCTTTATATGATACATTTTGGCCTTTTGTCGTTTGACTTTTACAATTACAATAAAGAATGTTACCAATTATAAGATATTGTTTGCAATTTATAACAAAATAGTGCCCTAATAATTCACTTTCAGGTTTTTAGTTCAGTTAATCTTAACACTATAAAACAAGGGTTTTTTTAAAAAAAAAAAAAGTTAATACATGTAATTATGGTTTCAAATGAGTGGAATTTTCTTGACTTTTTAATCAAAACAAATAATATAAATAAACTGAATGCTGACACATTTAATGAATTAAATGCTATAACTGCTAACCATAAAAGCCAGTAACCAATATCAAACATATCATTATGACCCTACTATTATTATAATATTATTTTAAAAGTGATTTTTTTATTTGAATTCATACAAGAAATTGTAGGAATAAAATGTCACATTAACAGTTTCATATACCAAGTTCCCTATAAACTTTTATTTTTAAAAATGCTCTGTTTGAGAAAGAAAGATGAAGAGAGGAAAGAGGACGGGAAAGGAGAAGGAAGGAAACAAAAATCATTGATCCAGAGCAGTGCTTCTCAAGCATCTCAAGTATTGATGTGCTGGGGAACTTATAGATCTTTTTGGGATCCTGGTCAAGTGCAGATTTTGATTTAGTAGGGTCTGGAGAGGGTCCATGATTCTAGCAAGCTTGTAGGGGATGCTGATGCAGCTTATCACTGGATCTCACATTGCATAGCATGGATCTAGATCATCACATGGCTTCAGAATCACTGATGGACTATCAAGAGGGAGATAAGTAAGCATAGCATTATTGGAATGGGAGTAGGCAATAAACAGTGAAGTATGTTTTCTATAACCCACTGAAGAGCACATTTGCTTAAAATGAAAATATAAAGTTGAAATTATAGCAATCTTATTGTCAAGATGGTTAAACACCTATTCTGATAGTGCTCATCCATTCATTCATTCCTGCAAGAAGCATTTACTAAGTAGCTATTGTATGTCAGGAATTGACTGTAACATTGTGTTGGATATAAGACAATAAAAATCTATAGTGTGGGCTGTGCTTTAGAAATGTGAGCAAAATGTCATGAGAGTTTACAGGAAGGTGAGAAATATCCTGTCTAGGACTTGATTACTAAAAAGCATCAATTATAATAGAGCGATCACATAAATTATACTAATTATATGAATTTTTCTCAAAATGACCACCACTAAATCAGGACATTTAATTCTTCTGGATAAAATGCCTGCAGAGCAAATCAGAATAACTTTAGCTCTTAGAAAATTTATTATTAAAAGAGAAAATATATATCTTTTTTTTTTTTTTTTTTTTTTTTTTTTTTGAGACAGAGTCTCGCTCTGTCACCCAGGCTGGAGTGCAGTGGCAAAATCTCAGCTCACTGCAAGCTCCAAGCTCCACCTCCCGGGTTCACGCCATTCTCCTGTCTCAGCCTCCTGAGTAGCTGGGACTACAGGTGCCCACCACCACGCCCAGCTAATTTTTTTGTGTTTTTAGTAGAGACGGGGTTTCACCGTGTTAACCAGGATAGTCTTGATCTCCTGACCTCATGATCCACCCGCCTTGGCCTCTCAAAGTGCTGGAATGAAAATATATATCTTATAACTTAGAAACACACACACTTTTTAGAACAATATACCAGCTGATTCCTGTTGCAAAAAGGGAATATTCCAAAAATCAGATCACAAAAGTGATTGCATTTATGATGATTAAATATATAACTACATTTCAAAATATATTGTAATGAACTTCTATCCTCTAACAAAACATGATATAGCATGCCATTTTTAATTTACTTGTCAATCGATCATACTTTTTAATTTTATAATTTTACAACCATTTTTAAATTTTGTAATTCTATAATTTTACTTTTATAAGTAAATAGCATCTGTTCTCAGTTTAAATTATATTTATACAGTTTGGATTTGAAGACTATTAAAGATTCAATTTAAATAATCTAATAAAACTTTATTAGTAATACAAACTACTACTTAAAATACATTATCGCATACCATGCAAGTATTACATAATGATTTTTGAATACTAATTTTAAAAGTCAGATTCATTATTTACTCACTTATTCATCTCATAAATAAAAATATTTTATGACATTGTTCTAGGTAACAGGGATACAGGATAATGAAAAAAGGAAAAAAAATCCTGTCTTCCAGGAGCTTATGTGATTGTTCCAGAGGACATTAAGTGAGTAAGTACAAGCAGCTGCTTATATACAGGGAACACAGGAAGGGCTGCAAGGGAAAGGAGTTGTAATCATAAATGGTGTGGTCAGGAAAGTTCTCACTGAGAAAGTGACATTGGCATATGTGTGTGTGTGTGTGTATGTGTGTGTTTTTGTGCGTGAGTCTATATATAATATTAATAATAATATATATACACAATATTAGAGATACAGAGCTTTTAAGAAATTGGCTCACATAGTCATAGAGGTTGGTAAGTCTGAAATCCATAGGCAAGTGGGCAGTCTGAAAATTCAGGTAGAAATTGATGTGGCAGTCTTGAATTTGGAGGCTAGAAACTCAGGTAGAATTTATATGTTAAAGTCTGGAGAAATAATTCCTTCTTCCTTGGGAAACCTCCATCTTTGTTCTTAAGATCTTCAACTGATAGGATGAGAACCATCTACATTGTGGAAGGTAGTTTGCCTTACATGAAGTCTGTTCATTGTAAATGTTAATCACATCTACAAAATACCTTTACAGCAACACATGGACTAGTGTTTGGCCAAGCAACTGATTACTATAGCCTAGCCAAGTTAACACACTAAATTAACAATTACAGACAGTGAAAAGAAAGATATAGGGTTGTAGCTGGAGGATGGTAGATTGTTTAATTAATATTTCATGTGGAAAGTTCAGCCTATTCAAAGAACAATGGGAAGGATCCAGGCTAAATATTTAAGGGAGAAAGGGATAAATAATCCAAGTTAATAAAATGACTGGAAAAGATAAGATATAAAAGCCAGGTTGAGGGATAGGACTTAATTGGAAGTGATATCATCTGACGCTAACGGAGAAGAGGGGTTAGACACTGAGAAGAGTGGAGCTATTTGAAATGACCCTCATGAAGAGTAAAAAGAATAAGATGACCATAAATCGTAACAAAATGGCCAGGAAAATGGAACTATTGAGACTGGTGACCAGGAATGTGTAATTCATGAAATAGTATAGCATATCTGCCATGTGGATCTGTTCAGATGTAAACACAAAGATGGCAATTAAATGGGGACAAAATTAAGATATTCCAATGTAAATATGGACAAAAGAGCCAGTGCCAGCTGGGTTACTGGCAATAATATTATTGCAATAACAAATTTGGGAGTATAAGATTTAAATGGAGAGAAATAAAGGAAAAAATGAGTGAATTGAAAGAAAGAATGGATAGGGGTCTATTGAGAGAGAGAATAATGACAGTGGGTCATGGTTCAAGTTGGGCAGAAAATTGGGAAGGAGACAACATTGTGCTTAGTGTATGACTAAGAATTCATGAAAGTTGAGCAGTTCAAGGTCCAGACAAAGTTCAAGGAGTGACTGTGGGAAGGGGCAGCTAAGGCAACTTGGAAGGGATGAGTATAAGGAAAGATATGTGGATGCTAAAGAATTGGGATGAAGAAGAAATCTATGGACCAGTTGCCCAAGTCTTTGATAAATGAAACGAGTGACCAAGATCTGGATAGAGGACAAAACCAGAGGATGGAGAAGGTGCTATGCCAGGGTAGCATGAGTTCAAAGTGGCAATGAGAAGCAAGGTGTATACCAATACACCTCCAAACTCAGAGGCACATAGAGCCAGAGAAAAGAAATGTCACTGCTTTAAGAGGCTTACAAGGAAAGAAGTGCCCTTTGAGGAATTACAGGTTATATTCAAGGCAAGGAGGTGGAAGAAACTCCATGGTGAAAAAACCTTTTCCAAACTTAAATAACGTTCTTCTCAAAGTTCCTGAGAGTTCATCTTTCCCTATTCATATGTACCTCATTTAGTCCTTAGTCACCCTCTCTCACTCTCTCACATCCCTAACGATCACATATTAATCTCTGTGGGCTTCTTCGTGATTGTTTTGTCCAATTTTATCTGGTATTAGTATTTTCTCATCACATGCCCATCTGAAGATGTTGTCTTCTTTCTTAACCTAAGTACAGAAATCGGATCATGCCCTCAACAGAGTGATTCCACTAGAATTGCTGCTGCTGATCCAGCTGCCTTCTAATGATTTGATTTAGAAAAATATAATAAAATAAATAAAATAAATGCAGAGTCCAAACAAAGGGCAAAAAGAAACCCAGGACCCACTCTGACTTACACAGCTATTAGCATGTCTCTCAGAAAGGTCTTTTTCAACCAAATACCAAAACCCTGAGTTCTTTTGCACAGCTTGTAAGCAAATGTTAGCGTGTGGATTCGATTTACATCTTCCTCGCAAAGAAAGAAAATAGGTTGTGAGGCAGAGGAGAGAGAATAACAAAGATTTATTTTGTAGAAATGGAATCACCACTGCCTGGTTAGAGATGGACTTGACTGATGAGTTTTCCGTGATAGCCTCCCAGCACTTAATCTTAGCCAAATATTAATGTGCTGAATTTATTACAGTTGAGCTCTGAAATTAAAAATGACCATCTGTGGCACATGTGTGTGGTACGTAGAACAGTAATATATTGTAGGCCAGCCCAACAAGACACAAAGGATATCGTGATTGTGACAAGGTGGGAAAACTCACTCAAACACCAAGACAGTTCAGTGAATCTAGTGGACACTGGTATTGGTCCTCTCTGCAGGTATCTGCTTTCTGAAACAATGCACGACATATATGAGATATTTATTAATAATTCCTTCAACATACCTCTATAACAGATGGTGCGCTCTAAATCTGGAAATGCAGTTTGCTTCACTGAAACAGAGCAATCAATTGAACAACACCAAATTCTAGAGGAAAAGATCACAAGTGTCAGACAAAAAGAAAGTAGTTTTTGTTATTGTTGTTTTGTTTTGTGGAGATCAACACTGTAATGAAGCTCAACACTGCAAAGTTGGCCCTCTAGAATTTTCATGTGAATGTCAGGATCAAATTAGGAAAGTGTGTATATACATTTTTTGACATATATATGTATATAAATATATGTATGCATATATACAAAGACATAAATATAGAGCATTTTCTCTAGGAAATAGAATTCACCAGAAATTAGCTCTTCCTACAAAGAGAACAGGATTTATATTTTAAGGCTAAAGATGAAAAAGCTTAATAGAAAACTTATTTTGTGACTTTTTATAGAGGAAACCCTTATAGGAAAATAAAAGGATACATTTGACTAGAAGTGGGAACCACAAAGCATAGATAAATATATTTATTTTGAATGAGTTTATTCATACTTTGAATTATCTGGGTCCAAAGAATAGAAAACAATTAGTTTACAAGTAATCTTGTTATGCCATGTCCTATGTATCGTAACAGAAATTAGGCTATAATTTGTGTGGTTTTGGTTTGTGCATACATGACTGAGTTTAGTTCGTTTGGTGAGTTGACAGCTAGACAAGATAGTATCAGAGTTCTAAAGTATTAGTGACTTGATAATACCTTCACAGTCCAAATGCTGTCCTATTAGTTACCTGGGTCTCTTCATGGGATTCTTAAAAACATTCTGCAGAAGGAAAATTAGTGGACTAGGAATAAAAATATTTCCTTATTACTAGCTGCTCAATACCTTTGATATTGTCAAGTTAGTGATTTTCACACTCAGAATGTTCTGGAAAAAGTCAGAAAGGACTGGATACCCAGAAAGATGTGACATGCAATATCCACAGAGCAGAACAAACCAGAATTGCTTTGGTATTTTACATTATTCAATATCCTTTCAATTGTAAGTGATTTAAACCCAATTCAAATTGAGCAAAAAATATGAATAGGCCACGAGAAATATAAATGACCAATGAAGCAATGAAAATATTTCATACTTCGAAAGAAATTAAAATTGAAACAATGAGCAATGAGATCTTTTTATTTCTAAAATGTGCAAGCTATTGATACAGGTTAAGAAGAATGGCCATTTTCATGCAATATGGTATGAAATGTTTTCAGAAATCAATTTGTCTAGAAAATGATAAAACTTACAAATGTGTCCTGATGTTTATTCATTTAGCAAATAATTTATTGAGTGATTATTATGTGCCAAGCACTTTGTAAAATATCTACCTCTCACAGTGGTTATGATCTGTAAGACAAGATACACATTACAAAAAATATAGGCATACTAATAAAGTAAACAATGTAAAACTGCCATTTTGGCAAGCACTGAGAAAGATCTATGTGGACTTAAAAGTGCCTAATAAAGGTAAATTGGGCAGTCCCAGAATTTTGGGAAAATTTTCTAGGGTGCAGTAAGCCTTAAAGAATTGAGTAAGTAAATGTTTACTAGTAAAGGAAGGGAAGTGGCAGGCAAATGTAATAATATGTACAAATAACATAAGGAAGGAAAAGGAATGAAGCACATAAAGGTCAGTGTATCAGTCAGGGTAAGCCATGCTTTGCTGCAGTAACAAACAAGCCTAACATTTCAGTGATTTAAACTACCAAAATTTTTCTTTCTTTCTTCCTTCCTTCCTTCCTTCCTCCCTCCCTCCCTCCCTCTCTCTCTCTTTCTTTCTTTCTTCTGTTCTTTGAGAAAGAGTTTTACTCTCATCGCCCAGGCTGCAGTGCAATGGCACGATCTCAGCTCACTGCAACCTCCACCTCCCAGGTTCAGGTGATTCCCCTGCCTCGGCCTCCTGAGTAGCTGGCATTACAGGTGTGTGCCACCACACTTAGCTAATTTTTGTAGTTTTAGTAGAGACAGGGTTTTACCAGGTTGGTCAGGCTGGTCTCGAACTCCTGACCTCAGGTGATTTGCTTGCCTCAGCCTCCCAAAGTGCTAGGATTACAGGCATGAACCACCATGTCTGGCCCAAAGTTTTATTTTGTACTCACATTTTATAGCAATTGTGAATTGACATTGCTCTAATCAGCTCTACTTCTCATTCCTCTCACTCTGGATCCATTTGATAAATCAGCCTCTGTCTAGAATATTATCAGTCACGATGGTAAGAGGAAAAGGCTAAAAGGCCTAAAGGTCATTATGTTAAGTGAAATAAGCCAGGCACAGACATACAAACGTTGCATATTTTCACTTATTTGTGAGATCTAAAAATTAAAACAATTGAGCTCATGGAGATAGAGAGTAGAAGAGTGGTTATTAGGGCTGGGAAGGGTAGTGAGGGTATGGGGGAAGTAGGGATGGTTAATGGATACAAAAAGGAATTAGAAAGAAAAAATAAGATCTACCATTGAATAGTACAACAGGGTGACTATAGTCAAAAATAATTTAATTGTGCATTTTAAAATAACTAAAAGAGCATAACTGGATTGTTTGTAATACAAAAGATAAATATCTGAGAGGATGGATGCCCTTTTACCATGAAGTGATTATTATGCATTGTGTGCCTGTGTCAAACTATCTTATGTACTCCATAAATAAATATATCTACTATGTAACTAAAAAAAATAATTTTTTAAATAATAATAAGACTAGTCATGGGACCTCAACAAAAGGGCCCAGGAAATGCACTCCTACTAGGTGCCCAGCTGGAAGAAAGCCAAACTCTCAATGAATAGACTAATCATATGTCCAGTGTGGCTGGAACTGAGTGGAGGAAATATGAGCCCAAGTGAGAAAACCTGACTTTATTCTATAGCCAATGTGAAGTCACTGAAGGCTTTACACTTTCAAGAATTTTTCCTGAGGAGAAAAATTACTTAGTTATGTAACATTTAATTTACAAGCTGGTTTATCATAGTAGTGTTTATTAATTTTTTCAAATGGCCAATAAACCTAAGTATTCAACAGGAAGTCTTACTCAAAAGTCAGTTGCTGTATCTTTATAATAAAATAGGATATAACTAGAAGTAATGGGCTTCGAAAAAATGTGACATGAAAAACATATATTAACTGAAAAAGTATGCATAAAATGCAGTATAAAATAAGATCTACTTAATTTATCTGCTCAATATTTTTAATATTTTAAATATACATTTAACATATGTGCATCAAAACTCTTAGAAGTACTATATAGATTACATATATTTTATCAGTAATTATTTAAGCTAGAATCATGATGTGCTTGGGTTTTACTTTTGTTGTTGTCATTTTATTTGTTATTACCTGTGCTTTATTTACGTCTAATTTTTTACAAAGAATGTTATTCCTTATTAGTAGAAATTTTTTAACTGGCCAGGACTCTATTTGTGATCATTAAAAAATAAATACCTTTTCTCTTTTCTTTTTCCATTAGAAAACATGACTGCACTTTCTGTAGTCGCTTGTAAATTGCATAAAAGTTATCAACATGTTGTTTTTCTTCTTGTTTTAAGTCATCTGAACACTGAAAATTGTGTATACATTAGCACTAGCTCAGACGCAGCCTCTAGTAAGAGGAAGTTTAACATCTATTCTCATCTTTTCAATTGCCTCTTGCCATGAGCGGCCCCGCAACTCAGGTTCCGGATCCATTGTTAGTCTGAGACAATGAAATGGCAAGTTTTTACCCGTCCAAAGTAACCCAATATTTTTGAGATCACAATTCTAGAGACCAGTCAAACACTCCAAATTTATCAAGCGATAATGACTTCAGGAGAATATTCCCTGCCTTCTCTTTTTTGGCATTCTTTTGATTATGGTAAAGGATGGTTGTAACCACCAGTAACGATTCAAGAATAACACAGGATATGTGTCACTGATGCTTTAATAAGAGCATATATATTGCTGAAAAACAGGCTGCCTTATTGTATATTCTTACTCAATCACTGGACATTTTACAGCAGTAAATTCTCTGATTTTTCAAGAAAACATTTGACGCAAAAACTCAAACCATATTTCAGCTCTTTTTCAGCTGCCAAAAAAGTAAATAATCTATTTAGCCAGACTTTGCAGACATTGGCCAAATGTTGGCCTGAACTCTGAGCGTATACCTGGATGGGTTGATACATCTGACACAATTGGGTTACCACAAACTGGGCTGTACATGAAAGGTCTGAAGAAATTTAAAATTAGCCTGGGGTAGAAATATTCCACCAGAAAGAGTATTGGTGAAGAGGAAGATTTGGACTTCTTGTAGGGATTGTTTTGTAGCTTTGTCGCAAATAAGTATGTTTTTGTTCTTTAAAGGGGAAAAAAAGTTAAAGAATGAGATAAGAGTCTCATTACAATCCTTGAAAACCAGCATGTTGTTTATCCAAATTACCTATTTGTGAATTCCCATCCATGGGGACATTGATAAGTGCCATTTAGATCTCATGACTCTTCACTGTACTTTGTATATCAAGGGGAAGTTCTAATTAAGGTAATATTTTATAATAAAAAAATTGTTATTATTTGTTTTTTCTGTTGAGCTATAGCTGGTGCTTCTTCTCACCTAGAGGTCTCCTATTTTGATCTAGTGAATGGAAGTAGGATTTGAAATAAAATTAAGGTCAAAATATGAAAATATGAAAAGTATTTACTGTGCAAGTGGCAGATTATACTTTTTCAACAAAATCATCTTTGAAAGTACTGGCTAATTCCTGCTTGAGAGGTACAAGTAAAGCGGCAGCCAGGAATTCTAGGAAATATTCTGCAAAATATGTCCAAAAAAGCACCAATCAATGTAAAAGAAGTTAATTAAAACTTGAGTCAGTAAGAAAAATAAATGGTGGAAAAGGCAAGTCATCAATCACTATTTCTATTTTCTTCATCTCAAGAGAAGATAAAAAGAGCAGAGGAAAATACCAAGAAAGGATTCAAGTCTGATTAACTCCACCAAATATTTATTTAGAGGCTACTCTATAAAAACATAGATGTACTTCCTCAAGTGAGAAAAAATCTATGATAAACAAAGTCCTTTTACTAGAATCTCTAAAGCGTAATTAGAAATAGGTGAATCTCCGGTGGCTCACACCTGTAATCTCAGCACTTTGGGAAGCTGAGGTGGGCAGATCATGAGGTCAGGAGATCGAGACCATCCTGGCTAACACGGTGAAACCCCATCTCTACTAAAAATACAAAAAAAATTAGCCAGGCATGGTAGCAGGCACCTGTAGTCCCAGCTACTTGGGAGGCTGAGGCAGGAGAATGACATGAACCCGGGAGGTGGAGCTCCTAGTGAGCCAAGATCCCGCCACTGCACTCCAGCCTGGGCAACAGAACAAGACTCCGTCTCAAAAAAAAAAAAAAAAAAAAATTGGTGAATCTCAGCGATGTGATAAGAGTGGGGAGATCGTCAGCACCTCCTAGGGACATCAAGACAAATCCCGGTTGGGCTGGTGTCAGATGCTATTAAGAAGTAGTAAAAAGGCTAAAATCTAGTTATAGTAGCAGAAGTAGTGTTAGGGTATGGCCAGGGTCAGATATCAGGAGAACCCAAGGCCACATCAAACTCTAGTGGGCAGATGAGAGCAACAGTTAGGTATGAATCAAGGCCCTTAGAAGTTATCAAAATGAGTAGTACTGGAAACCAGCGTATATATACTGTCTTTGGTGGTGG
Organism: Homo sapiens; assembly: GCF_000001405.40. Classification (NCBI taxonomy): domain Eukaryota; kingdom Metazoa; phylum Chordata; class Mammalia; order Primates; family Hominidae; genus Homo; species Homo sapiens. The sequence continues at coordinate 7,827,017 of NC_000020.11, forward strand.
TTGGAATTGAGATTCTGCGAAAAGTTAGGTCTCCATCTGGATGAGCACAACTTCATAAGGCACAACACTCCAAGTTTATCTATCACCAAACACAGTGATTAAATTTAAATGTTTATTTCTAATAGATATTTCTACCCAACAAGGCAAGTGTAGAAGCCTCCATTGTCTGAGCTTGTCAATTGCATGCCTGGTCTCATCATGGCCTTACCACTGGCCTAAACCCACTGAACTCTCCTGATTTATGTATTTATATTCATAATTTCCAATAAATTTCTTTAGCTTTGCATTTCTCATAACATCCTGTATATGTGTGTATAAAATTAAACTAAAAATCCTTTGTGATAGTACAAATGAATAATGTCAAGAAAGCTCAGATATTAACCCCAAACTTTTAGAAGATAACATCTACATTCCCTATTTCCCTTAAAAATCTTACCATCAGTAATTAACATAAAATCAGAGACTTCAAGCTGGAAGTTAAGAGGTCATCTGTGACAGTTTTATTAAATGTCCACAAATTTTGGACACTCTTTCCTTCAAAAGTGGGATTACATCTCTCTTTCATCCATCTTTGTGGGCTTCTGACTCACTTGCAAATGGTCAAAAGAGGTAGCACAATTTCTGAGGCTATATCATAGTGGGTAATGCAGCTTCTGTCTTGAGCGCAGGGACACATGCTTTTACTTATATCCATGAGCTTACATATAAGAACCCTAAATATCCTGAAGAAACTATAATGTGCAGAAGTTGAGGACACAGAAAAAAATCACATATACATGCTCCAGTGGCAGCCCCAGCTAATCTCTCAGCCAAGTGCCAGGAAAACCTGAGTGAGGTACCTTGGACATTCAGTCCAGTAAGCCTTCTTTATATGGTTGCAACTACAGGCAATATATAGCTGCAACTGCATGAGACACGCCAAGTGAGACTACCCAGGCAAACCCTTCTGAATTCCTGACCCATAAAAGCTAAGGCAAAATAAATTTTTAAGCCTATACATTTAGAAGTAATTTGTTATACAGTGATAGATAACTAACTGATATACCATCTAATCCAAGTCCCTACTCTGGGATGAATCTTTTGGATTAAATGACTCTAATGCAAGGTATCTTCCTTCACATTAGCCATGAACCAATAGTTTTGGACAACACAATTTTGTTCCTCATGTTAGACCAAAATCTTCATTTCTCTAACTTTAAACCAATATCCTAGATTAGCATTCTCTGGCTTCTTAAACATGAAAGCTTGCCACGTAGACAAAAGCACTCTGTAAATATCTCCTTGGTCTTTTCTCCTGAAGGAAAACAATACCCGTTTACTTTTGGCCTTGCCTCAAAAGATAGAATTTTCAAAATTCTGTGTGTCTTTTTCTGAACATATTCCAATCGGAGAAGTCTTAAAATATAGTGTAACGAGTTTGACACTTCATCCCATAAATCATCTCACAGAATTTGGTGAAATTGTCTTTTCTAGGGCCTCTATTGTGCTAGACACAATATTTCATTAACGCAACCCATGATTGTGCTGGTCTATTTTTTTAACAGCCACATCATACCATTGGCTTATTTTATGGTTGTCATCAAATGGAAATCCCAGACCTCTGCCATCTGTACTGTGGCCAAACAAGCTCACTCAGGCAGCTGACTTTCTGAACCTAAACAGAACTTGAAACTTGTTTCTGCTTAATCTCATTTCAATGGTTTTGGCTCAGTGTGTTGCTGTCAGTTGACGACTTTTATTCTTGAGTCTGTCACTTATAGTTTTAGCCATCTATGCATCCTCACATCTAAAACTCTATCAAAATTATCCATAGAAATACTGAGTCAACAGGGCTAAGAGTATAGCCAGTCAAACTCCATTAGAAAATTACAGAGCCATTTGCCAACACATAACAGGCATATGTTTAGACACTAAATATCAACACTTCTATCATTCAATCTACTATTTACGTATGATATTCTTGCAAAAAATACTGTCACCTGCATTGATGTAATTGAAACAATTGGTATGTATTTTATGCGTGGAATTTTCTGTTCTCTAGAGATTCTAACAAAATGAGAAATCATGTGAATTTGGCATGATTTGTCTTGAACAAATGTATGCTAGCTCCTCGAGATTAGCTATATCATTTTCCAAAGGTTCATAAACCACATGCACGATAATCTATTCTAGAATATTGTATTAAGCTGAAAAAGAAAAGACAGTAATCCTGATGATGTCATCATCACCGTTTTTGAAAGCCAATACATAATTTTTATAGTTCAGATTTCTATCAGAAATCTTCTCTGATACTTCTTAAAAATTAGCATGTAGTTATCTTACACTAGTAGATACTAAATATTTATTGAATGAACTAATTAATAAATGAATGAAAAGATACATGAATCATTCCATTATCCTGCCTTATTTTCTTCATTTCGACATATCACCCTATGAAGGTAATCTATTGTTCACTTTATTTGGAATTCTCTATCTACCCCTGCTTATGAGTATAGACCTTGATCTATCTCAATAATGTATTCACAGTGCCTAAAATATAGCCCAAGGCATAATGTACTCACTTCATGGAGACAAGTTAAATTAAGGCAAAATAATTTAATCCAGCTAGGGCTTAGGTCTCAAACTTTCTCATTACTCAATATTTTTTTGCCATATTCATTCTACTTCTTCCAGTTACAAAAATCTTTTCCTTAATGAAGAAGACTAATTCACAATAAGAGTTCCATTTTCTTTCTGTCATTTGTTAATGTATTTCCAAGAAACACTTAATTTATTCTTATTCTTATGCCCAATATTCTTTCAAAACTGGATGCTTTAATTTAAGTTCCCATGAAAGCAATTTATTTTGGAGGTGACCTCAGGCAAGAAACACTGGGAAGGAAGTTCAGGAAACATGACAGGCAAAAGAAGAATGAAGAGTTTAACTCTTCCATCCAGAACATTCAGAATGCCTCCCTGAATCTTCAGAATTGAAGTAGTCATTCAGATAGACCTCAAGAGGTTGGTGGTGTGACAAATGTTTCAGTGACTTCACATTCAAGCATTTTCCCCACTTTTCCAAACCAAAGTTATGTTCTCCCCATTGGCACCCTAGGGAAGACTGACTTCTCCCCAGCAGATTCACATATATTTAAGTGAAACATCTGTATACATCTGACTCTTATTTCAAATAGAAAGGTTCTCATTATAATCTTTTACATCTATTATTTTCCCCATTTTGCCATTGACTCATTATTTGTCAAAGAAATTCTTCTAGAATTATTATGCTAAAATTAGAGTACTAATATATGATAAATCTATATCAAATGTTCTAAAAACTTCATAATTATAAGTAACTATGTTACTATTGTGTAAAATAAGCATCAGACATTTAATGGCATGAAATATAATTACTGTTCTTCTATTTTAAATGAAAAATAATTTCAAGGTAGTATAATGTATGCTTATTTTAATAAAAGCATGTGCATATGTGTGAGTGTATGTGTGTGTAAACATAATTGATACAGATGGTAGAATTTTGAGTGTTTTTTCTACTTTTTTGTGATACTATAAAAGTTATTTATTTACTATACACAGAACATGTCCATGTCCCCTATAAAATGTACATGTAAATCACTAAAAAGTATAATTTGGTGAACATTTTCTCAATTACAGTACATACTTAATCAGGTGGGATGACAGCTCTCTGTCTGCCTCAAAATAATCTAATTATAGCACCCAGTCTTCTTTATATCTAATGCAAAGTTAAGTACTTATTTTGGGGGTTATTTCCTAGTATATGTTTGGTGAGGCAGAGTAAACAACTTAACTCTAGTATATTACAGTCACTGCACAATAAACCAGATTATTACAGATTAAAACAAATCATTTTTTCATTATTTATAATAATGGGATCAAAGAAATATGGGATACTTTTAAATGGCAGATAACCACACAATTACTTACCTTTGATAGTATATTGGATTCTATAATTACATTAGTATATGAATGATGAAAAATACTGTTATGAATAATACACCTCAAACAAAACAACGAGGCCACACTGTAATGATTCACTAGATCGTGCTCAACAGACATTTACTGAATAAGGAATTATCTATTTTTCTCCTCAATTATCCAGTACAATGTTTTGCCCACAGTAAGGGCTCAATAAATATTTGCTGAACATACTGACCAGGAAAGAGGTGAGAAGAGATGGGCCCTCTTAGCTGGATATTAAATATAATTGGAATTTACCTGGGAAGGAGAGTAGTTAGGAAGATGTAAATTGCATGTGGTGTACAAGCAAATAAACGCAGATGCCACCACAGCAAATGATTAAGCAGAAAACACTGGCACCAAAATAAACAAACGCAAGATTTGCCAATAATGGCAAAAATTGAACTTTTATATTGGACCATACTTTTTCCCACTCAATTCAGTTTAAGACAGACCAACAGAGGCACTGTCAGACACTATGGCTATCTTCCTTGATATTCAGACATCCTAGTTTCCAATAATTTATTATGGACCCATTAGCCATGAATCAGTATAAACCTATTTCTATTGAGGAATTAGTTTCCACAAGTACAAAGTTGAATTTCCTTTTACTTGTCCTAAAATGCTTACTTTCAAATTTGAAAGGACTTCAATTATTCCATGTAGTTTTCGATAATATTTTTGTATCTTTTCTGACCAGAGTCAAAATAGTTGTGCAGTCATCATACTGCAGCACCTTCCACCCACCCTTTGGTCACTTGAACTGCCTTTCTTTGGTTCTTTTTCCACTTTCAGATATTTGTTTAAGTGTAGTAAGCAGAACTGTACTGGGTATTCCAGCTGCAGTTTGGCCTGTCATTGTCAGAATGGCTTCTGCTATGCCGTGGTCTTCCAGTCAGTCTATTTCTAGATACAATCTTTTAAACTGTTATCAAAAGACTGACTTCTTGATTTTCTTTCATAACTTCAGCTTCTAGAATGTCCGTATCTGTCATAATCATCATAGTGTGAAGAACTGTACACATTCCTCCCTTCCTTGGCTTTCATTTGATTTGGTGTCTTCCAATGCCCTGGACAAACTGTATTTCAATCTGCCGTCCACAAATCCACTTTCTGTCCAAATTATGTAAAGCATCTTCAGCATCACAAACATCCTCAAGTTGACCATAAGCAAATCTTGGACGGTGAGTGCAGAAATCAAGTGGAACATACACATCAACTATAGGACCATAACGACCAAATTCACACTGTAAATCTTCAGACCTGGTGTCATCGGCCACATTCCTGATGAGGAGAGACGTGTTAGGGGGACACAAGTAGCAAGACATGGAGGCATCGTGTCTCGGTCGGGCACACTAATGGGCTCAGCAAACCAACTGTGGCTCTGGCGGCCAAGCGTCAGACACACACAGCCCAGAGGGCTCTGCCATGGCAATCCACCTCTTCTCATGAGACTTCACTCCTGGCTCCTACCTCCGTGCAAAGCCCGTTTTTTTTCTACTTTTAATTATCTATATGTCTGATTTTCTTTTTCTAAAATAAAAGCAAATTATTTTGTAATAAGCAAAAAATATTGGCAATTGGTATAAGCAAATGTACAAAACAAGAAAGCAGATCAAGTAAAAGATATTACTTATAGATGCCTAATGGCAGCAAATATCCTTACTTTATCAAAGAACATGCCACTTACTACTAATTACAGTAACAATACATTTTTACCATTTTTCCTATTAAAATAACATTAGAGGATCATAAACTTGTGACTGGAATTGGTTCCTTCTGGTGGGTTCTTGGTCTCACTGACTTCAAGAATGAAGCCGTGGACCCTCGCAGTGAGTGTTACAGTTCTTAAAGATGGTGTGTCCGGAGTTTGTTCCTTCAGATGTTCAGATGTGTCTGGAGTTTCTTCCTTCCGGTGGGTTTGTGGTCTCACTTGACTTCAGGAGTGAAGCCATAGACCTTCATGGTGAGTGTTATAGCTCTTAAAGGTAGTGAGGACCCAAAGAGTGAGCAGCAGCAAGATTTATTTTGAAGAGCGAAAGACAAAGCTTCCACAGCATGGAAGGGGACCTGCGCAGGTTGCTGCTGCTAGCTCAGGTGGCCAGCTTTTATTTCCTTATTTGGCCCTGCCAACATCCTGCTGATTGGTCCATTTTACAGAGTGCTGATTGGTGCTTTTTTACATAGTGCTGATTGGTGCATTTACAAACCTTTAGCTAGACACAGAGCACTGATTGGTGTATTGGGACTTTACCCCTGTCCTATAAAGATGTTATGCCCCAAAAACGAAGTGGAGGGCCATTCCCTGAGGGAGGGAAGGGAACTCCAGAGTTGGAAGAGTGATGCCTTTTGTCCTCACTTATATGAATAGGAAGGATACATTGTCTGAGGCTCCCCATATCCTACGTTCCGGAATAGCTTTTGTCAGGCCTGCTTGTCTGAGGAGGGTTCCTAAAATTCCAGGTAGTCCCCCCTACAATTGGGCTTTGGGCAAAAATTATGTCTTTCTGATTGGTGAGCCTGGGTGCCTAAAGAAAGGGATAGAGTCCTGAAGTTTATACTAGAAGTCATTCTTGCAAGAGAAACTAGAAAAGCACCAGAGACAGGGAGTGGTTTTTAGAAGCGGGACTAGCCTCGGAGAAGAGAGGCGAGAGGAAGTTTGTCTGGCAGGCATCAGGACCCAGGAGGCAAGGGTCAGGATAGATAGGATAGATGGGAGAGTCTCGCTTGGGCGACATGACTTTGAGAGTTCTGCTCAGGGCCACAGGGTCAACCAACTTGTTGTTGGGACTCTGGAGCTGAATGGCTTTCCTCTCTGTCGAACTTCAGCTCAGCCCAGAAGTACAGGAAAAGCAGAAGCTGGTTCCAGGCAAACCAACGCTCCCAACTCCGAAGAGTAGGGGGTCGTTAGAGAGCCCTTTCCCAGAAAACCTGACTCCTGTGTATTTAGTCCGGCGGCTGCGCTGGTCACTTTTAACTGGCTGACAGGTGCCAGGTATTTAGCCCCCAAATTCTAAGGAAAAATAGGACAGAATAGCAAGTGAAAGGGGTCTGATGGTGCTCACTGCTTGGCGATAGTTGATAGTCCCTTCATGGTCGCCAAAATGTGTCCAGAATTGGTTCCTACCAGTGGGTTATTGGTCTCACTGACTTCAAGAATGAAGCTGCAGACCCTCACGGTGAGCATTACAGTTCTTAAAGATGGTGTGTCCAGAGTTTGTTCCTTCAGATATTCAGATGTGTCCAGAGTTGCTTCCTTCTGGTGGGTTTGTGGTCTTGCTTGGATTTCAGGAGTGAAGCCACAGATATTTGCAGTGAATGCTACAGCTCTTAAAGGTGGCGCATCCAGAGTAGTTTGTTCCTCCCAGTGGGTTCATGGTCTCACTGACATCAGGAGTGAAGCCTCAGACTTTTGCAGTGAATGTTACACCTCATAAAGTTAGTGCGGACCCAAAGAGTGAGCAGCAGCAAGATTTATTGTGAAGAGCGAAAGAACAAAGCTTCCACAGCATGGAAGGGGACCTGAGCTGTTTGCTGCTGATGGCTCGGGTGGCCAGCTTTTATTCCCTTATTTGGCCCCGCCCACATCCTGCTGATTGGTCCATTTTACAGAGTGCTGATTGGTCCATTTTAAAGAGTGCTGATTGGCCCATTTTTACAGATTGCTGATTGGTGAGTTTACAAACCTTTAGCTAGACACAGAGCGCTGATTGGTGCATTTTTACAGAGTGCCGATTGGTGCATTTACAATCCTTTAGCTAGACACAGAACACTGATTGGTGCGTTTACAATCCTTTAGCTAGACAGAAAAGTTCTCCAAGTCCCCACTCGACCCAGGAAGTCCAGCTGGCTTCATCTCTCAAACTAGCACTACTTCACATCCATTTTAAGTAAAATTTAGGTTGCAATATTTAGTTTATCTCCAGTTTTTCTTAGATGTTCTACATCTCTTGAACAAGGTAGAGAACAAAAAAAGGTGCCAGGAATTTCTATTACCTTTTTTCTATACCCTAATTTTGAGCGTTTGTGCTGATTAAATACAAAAAATATAAATATTAGTGATTAAGTAAACCTAATAAATTCACTTGATTCAAACATAATAATTGATTTTAATAGTTATCATTGTTTTCATTATCATTATCACACCATCATAAGTAAGTGACAACACTAAAATATTAGAAATTATAAGCAGATTATGTTGGTGGTAGATTATGTAGAATTCTTCCTGAGCATATCTTATAGTAGTATCTAGTCACTTTTTATAAGATGAGCAAAAGAAATAAGATGGCAGCTGGCAGGAAAAAAAATGTTTTTGAAAACACCTCATCAAGTACCTACCACAGAGATAATTGTGCTTTGACAATATCTTAAAGTTCCTCTCAAATTCTAGTACAAAAGTTTTTGTTACAGAGCCTGAATTCAGTTACATCTTGGATATACACAATACTATGTGATCTGTTTCTTTGTTGTTTGTCATCTATCACTCCAAATGACACATATTTGGTGGTAAAATAGGAAGACTTTTAATTCATTATTCCAGAGATAAACTGTTCCCCTTACTGAGTTTTCCACTTCTCAGTTCATAACTTTACAACCTAGAGCAGAATATTTTTGTCATGTCTATAACCTTCCCCAAAAATGTATAGAATTATCCTATCAATATGGTAGCCATAATTTCAAATTAAATAAAATTAAAATTTCAGTTTAGCAATTGCACTAGCCAGATTTCCAGTGCTCAATTGCCAACTATAGCTAGCAGCTACCATAACTGGGAGAACGGTTTTATAATTCAGCGAGTTCTATTGGATAGTGCTGAATCGTATATCAAATGCTGTCCAGTTACTTGTTAAAACCTAATTTAAAGCTAAGATTTTAATAACAGTGTAGTTTTGTCATAACATTTAATATTTGGCTTACAAGGTAGCTGATGTAATTTAAGATAGAATTAAATGCAATTGTTGCTAAAATATTCCACTCTGTTGCCACACTCTAGAAGTTATCTACAAATATACTCACAAACAGGCTGCTTTACTGGGTAACCAGGGTTTGAATTAGCCCTGCAGCATTATTTATTGCTGTGTAAGGAATCATTCCAAAATTTAATAGTATGAAAAGGCAATAGTCATTAATTATCTCCTATGATCTCTATAGGCCAAGAGTTCAGGAGCAGCTAAACTGAGCAGTTGTGGCTCAGAATCTCTCATGAGGTTGCAGTCAGATGCCAGCTGGGGCTTAGCCATCTGAAGACTCAGTGGTGCTGGATGATCCATTTCTAAGGTGGCTCACACAAATGGCAAATTGGCTCCTCTCCAAGGGACTTCTTGAGTGTTTTCACAACATGACTAGCTTCTGGAAGAGCTAGTAATCCCAAATACTAAAGCAAAAGCTGATATACCTTCTATGACCTAGCTTTGGATGTCTCATACCATCACTTCTACCATATTCTATTGGTCACACAGGTCAGCCCCAAGTGATTCAGTGTGGTGAGAAGCACACAAGGACATGAGTATCAGGGCACAATTGTCAGTGGAGGCCATCTTGGAGGCCAACTACTACCCTACACTCAGCCCACAGTGTTTCTTGCTAGAGTATAGGGGTTAAGCACAAAGAGTGAAAGACATTACCAAGGAATTTAGTCACACTGTCTCGTGCCTGAACATAGATTTGTCTAGTGATTCCCCAAAGGAAGCTCCATGTTTCATTCACCCTTTGAGCTTTCCTCAAATGATCAAGATACTGGAACACTTCCTGCTCACCAGCCTTCCCCACATGAAACACATTTACCACATAAGGACAGGAAACTTTACAAAATCAGATCTTTAATTGTTTTGACCTTAGCTGCAAAATGGAATGTCTTGGAGGTCTTTTTTAAAAAATTACTGATACCTAGGTCTCACCAGAGATTGTAATATAATTTGTCTGCATGCAATCCAAGAATTAGAAATCTGAAAAAGACCCCCAGGTGATTCCAATGTTCGGTGACAATTGAGAACCACCAATTAGAGGAAGACCCTTCTGAATGTTCTTTTCTGTGACTCCTCTCCTTCTTTAAGTGTTTCATCATACTTCACAGCCCTTAGTTTCCAAATTCTGGCTCTTGTTTTTCAACACAATCCCTGAGAAAACTCTTCACTTCCCACAAAAGTTGGAGAATATCTTGGTCATTTTCAGCATCTAGTTACCTCCATTAACCCAAGATGCAGCTCATCTTTACAGAATCCCAAGGGGCAAAAACTGGTTCTAGTTTTAAGACCAGAGAAGAAAATAGAATGTTTGAATCCACTTCAGGCCTTGACTGTAGGATGCTGCAAATAATTTTCTCACTATTTACCTAAGAAATAACCACACCTTATCAAAAGGAAAATTAATATTTACCTGAAACAACACAGTTCTATCTAACATAAGAAAACAAGTTCCTCCTGTTAACAAGACCTTAACCCTGCTCCTTGTGAAATAATAAATAAATCACCTCAGCATGATGATGTTAAGGCACATCTGATCCTTTCAAGATCTGGCTTATTTTGCAAGAGAAACAACAGTAGTAGAAAAAGACTTCTATTTTAGCCATCTGGACTAGTGCTAGCAGTTCTATCTATGTGGTTTCAGACCTTCATAATCTGTGCTCTTATAAACAGAAGAGAGGTGTCTCACTTTATTACACCACATCATCAAACAGAGACACTCCATATGTCTATCTTCATAGGTATTTTCGGAAAAAAAAGATCTAGATATCAGCAATTCTCACAATTTTAGCTTGCATATGAATTACCTGGGATCTTGTTAAAATGCAAATTCTGAGTCATGAGTGGGAACCGAATTCTGCATTTTTAACAAGCTCTGGGAGACATCACGTTGCCAGTTCACAGACCACACTCTGAGTATCAAGGATCTAGATACTATAGATAAATAAGAATAATAACTACAAAGCACTTTTCATTTCTTCCCTTTGATCTCATGCTTGTCCACAGAATTAAAATGGTTTTATCTCACCTCTCCTCCCACTTTTTTATTCACAAAATCTATAATATTTAGAGAATTCTATTATTCTTATACTTTTCCTCTTTTTTTATTATGGCAAAACGTCTTCTGAACTTCTTTGTGTTATAAGAGTACAGATGAGTTTGTGAAAGAAAGACTGATAGGAAACAAATCCAAGATCCCACAAAAAGGAATTAAATCTTCTTTACCAACCAGACTAAATATTTCACAAATATGTGTTCTTCTAGAATTGCTATCACAAAACATATAGAACATAATACTTACAAAATGATTCATGCCTGGGAGTATTATGGTTACATGATAGTCGGTAGTTTACTGGCTGTATTGCTTTATTTTATTTTAGTAGCCAATCTATTATTCAGGTCTTTAGGACACAGGAAAAAAAATATGCTCATTAGAAACATAGTACCTCCTAGCTTTGGGGCGAGGAATCTATATGTAGTCTAATTAGCTATAAGAGATAGAAATTATGTTCATTGTTCTACTATTTCTTTGAAGCATTCTTTGTCATTATGATCCTGGGCCATTCCAGTGGATTATCTTCAACGATAAAACCAACTAAAATATCTTCTGGACCTTCCTTGTACATTAATACCAGTTCAAGAAATTACTGAAATATTTTGAATAGTAAATTATTGAGTTAATTACAAGACAGTGAATAAAATTGACACCTTTCTTTTGTCTTTTATAATTATAAAAAAAAGTCTACTGAAAGAAAGAGCAGAACAAAACATTGAAAACAACTGAAAAGACACAAAATGTGTCTTTGTAATCTTGGCTACTTACTACAATCAGGTTAAGCTTTTCAAAAATCCACTTTTATTCCAAAATTATTTTAACTATAAAAAGTCACCAAACAAATATGACTCAGTATTTAACAAATTATATCATTCTTAGAACTGTTAGGTTAAAGTTACTCCAAAATATTTCCAATTAAAGTTTCTGTAATTGATTTACATTTGAGCACATAGAGAAAAATTTACTCCCAAATTGCTATAAAAGTAGTTCGGTACCCAATGTATCACCCTGGAGAAAAAAAAAAAATGACTGTTTCTTTTGCCTCCATGGTATCAGGCAGTCTAATCCTACAATATTTCCAAACCTCACCCATCCCAGAATAAATAAATGTATGAGATGACATTGCAAATTGGACGCCCAATGTTCACAAAAGCTGACTCTTTCATAAGAGTCACCCTTACCACAATCTTTACCTTGGAAATTACATCTGAAGTGGCTGGATCAATCCCTTCAAGCAGCATATGTTGAAATTTTAGTCTAACTCCATAGTAACTATAGCAATGTTTATTTCATTACAAACTATAATAATGAACATAAAGAACTTTGGACATAAATATTTGGTAACAATAGTGAAATTTCCTAAATCTGGTGACTATTGTTCTATTGGCCCCTGGAAGGCCATGAAGAAATACAAAGAACAAGTAACGACATTCTCAGACTCCAGAATTGAAAAATGGCTTAATGGGATTCTTCCCGTTTGCCTAGAAGTTAGAAGATGTGGAATCTTGTCCCACTTTGTCACTGACCATTCTTTTGAATTTGAGCAACACAATCAACATAAATGAGCCTTAGTTAATGTATTTATGAAATAAGAAATGGTTAGTTTCAATATATCTGAAGTCCTTTACATCAAGAAAAATATAAATTGTTCAATTGTATTTTTTTTTTTTTTTTTTTTGAGACGGAGTCTCGCTCTGTCGCCCAGGCTGCAGTGCAGTGGCACCATCTCGGCTCACTGCAAGCTCTGCCTCCCGGGTTCATGCCATTCTCCTGCCTCAGCCTCCCAAGTAGCTGGGACTACAGGCACCCGCCACCACTCCCAGCTAATTCTTTGTATTTTGTTTAGTAGGGACGGGGTTTCACCATGTTAGCCAGGATGGTCTTGATCTCCTGACCTCGTGATCCGCCCGCCTCGGCCTCCCAAAGTGCTGGGATTACAGGCATGAGCTACCGCGCCCGGCCATTTAATTGTATTTTAAAGCAAAATTATATTGTGTGCCTTACCCATTTCCCCTTCTCCAATGATCTCATTCTTGATCTGAAGCTTTTTGGAAAATTTCAGCCAGTAACTCTGAATTATTAATTATACTCCTGGCCTTTTCTAGACAAGGGAATATACAATAGCCTACAAATGTGGTAAACAAATTATTAGTCAACAGATATTTACTGAGAAACTACTAGAGACAAAGTACTATATAAAACTAATTAGTATTAGAGCCTCACTGGAACCAACTATGGGGCATAACTGGTAATATTATTAAACAGTGAAGCTCCCAGGTAATGGATTAGAGTAGAGATACATACCTTAAAGAGGCAGGAGACTCTCCATCTAAGCCTGGATAGTTCCCAGAGGGACAGTGTTAGCATACTTGAGAAAGAAATGCATTTGATAGAAACAGCATTGATCAGCCTTGGAAGCATAGAGATATAACCTTGAGAACCTGTCTAGCACAATTTAGATCCACTGGTACCCCTATTGAAGAGTCCTCAAGGATGAAAGAGATATAACTATCAGGCTAAATTGTAACTGGAATTTAGTTCTTCCAACTAATTCCACTTTCATGGTATCCATGCCCACTAAACTACCATCTGATTCTAATTTGACATCCCACATATCTGTCACTGTTAAGCATGGAAAATATGATTTCCCTCGAATAAAAATAATAGATTTTTCTGACTGGGATTAGCAGCTCTTGGTGCACTGATAAATCTGTATTCTGAGCTTCTTGAAGTGTTGGCAGGAAGAAGGGGCTGTCTATAATGAACTTCGTATAATAATGCCAGACTTTCCCAAGGAAACCACACATCATAACCGGGCTTCTTTCCCCTTAAGCTTCAACACATTTATTTATTCTTTATCTCTGTTCTCTCTTATTTCTTCTTATTCTTATCCTCTTCCCTCTCCTTCAATTTGCCTCAACAAAGATAATGAACTGACGTGGGCTTGGGTTTTAAAAATATTTGGGATTAGACAGATGTTAGAAGAAGGCATTTCAAAGAGAGGGGCAATTAAATTGGGTTGGGGGATTAAGGAGACCAGCCTCAGGCAGTTTAAGGAGTGATGCTAAGTGAGGTGAGACTAGAAGCTTAAGTCATGTCCAGATCATAAAGATTTCCAAATGGCATTAAGGAATCTGGCCCCAGGCAGTTGACTGAGAGTTTTTAGGATTTCTCAAAAAATAAAGACATAGACCAAAGTTGAATTTTAGGAAGATTATGTATATTAAATACAATCATACATGAAGGAGTATGTGTGTAGTATTAACTATAAACTATACTTAACACAAAAGTACATAGGTCAGTACTTTCAACTTCAATCAAAGAGATTACACATTCCTCTTTAGTGAATGGAGGTAAGGAACTTGTAGAAAATGACTAATGTTTACTCACAAGGAGACAACTGGAAGGAGCTGGAGGGATGTGGGTATGTACATGAGTAATGGAAGGAGGAAAGAAAAGAAAGAATAGAGATTTCTATAATTCATCCAGTACCTTTCCTCAGGGGTAGAGTTTGGCTTTCAAATGACCAGCAAGTCAACATTGGCAGCAGCTCAGCCACCAGAGCAATATCCAGGAAGCTACTGGAATCACAGAGGATTTTGAAACACATGTGTCTGGATTTCAGTGTTATTCCTGAATAAGTCTGTAGTCTTCCCTCAACACCTCCTTCTGTGAGAAATGGAAACTCGGGCAACACAAGGCAAGGAGGGACAACTGGACACACCAGCTGAATCATAACATCTGGTGAAGACTTCTCTGCTATCACAGAATCTGAGAGATGGCTAATACTCAGACCAGCTCCCAAGAGTAGCTTTTCCTGCAGGAGGGTGCAACAGCCTCAGGATTTCAGCTCAGGGGGAAATATGTCTGTATGAGTAGGAGAGAAATGGAGTTGTGTGTAAGCATATGTTTGTGGTTTTCGAAGCAGAGGACAAACACAAAATCACATAGCCTCCTGGTCTGATGGGTTTCCCTGACTTGGATGTTTCAGTGATGCAGTTTGGCCCTAGAGCCTTCATCTGAGCTAAGGTTCCCTCCCTCCCTTTTTGCTTCAGCTCAGTGTTTTGCTTGAATCTGAGTCATAAGCTCCTTAAGCTGGCAGGAAGCGGATAGTCGGGCTGGCAGCTTGCTCTCCCCCAAGCAGAGGGAGTGTCTTGGCTGACACCTAAGCAACCTTTTCCATCCCCAGACTCTGTAACAGAACCAATGAGCATTAGAAGAATGGAAGGCTGGGCTATACTCACAGAGTAGAAGAGAAAAACCATCCTATAGAAATCCAATAGCTCAAGCCATGGTTTTAAAAAAAATGGCTTATGGAATTTCCTCAGCCACTCATGATGTCCTTACAATATTTTGTGTTTATCCCTCAAAGCTTGTCTATGTACACTCTCAACCTAGCTCCCACCCCAGCTCTACAGGTCTTTATTCTCCATCCAGTTTCTGAATGATTTTCCCCTCTAGCAAACTCCATCCTTCCCTCTACTTCTCCTAAACCACAGCCACTCTAACAGCTAAGTTCATACTCTGAAAGCTTGCCCTGTAGGGACTTAGAGCAGAATACTACCAAGTATGACATCTTGGCATGCTGAGTACTTTGAAATGGAGGAGATAGGAAAGGCCTCTGCAACAAGGTATCTCCAACCTTTTCCCTCTTTCTTCTGTCTTCTAAGACATGTCATAGAAACCAGATTCCTCTCCCAAAGGTGGGTCATAGAAATTAGAACTCCTCTACCCCAAAGCAAACCATAAAACTTAGAAAGGCCACATTCTGACTTACCTCCCTTGAAAGTAGGCCATAAGACCCTCATTCCAGAGGGTCCTGCCCCATATCCAGGGGGAAATAATGCTACACAGAGAGATCAGGAAGAATCTGAACAAACAGGTCTTGCTAGGGTCTCCTCTTTCCCCCAGTTTATTACCATTAGATCATACCTTTTTTGTCAAATCATGTTTCTCCACAACTATCCACTTCTTTCATTAGACTTAGCATAAAAACACACAGCTTTCCCTGGGTCTTCAGGTCTTCATTTCTGAAGGCTCCCATGTCATGTAAAACTTTGTTAAATAAATGTGTGATGTGTTTCTCTTGCTAACCTGTCTTTTGTTATAGGAGTGTTAGTCATGGCCTTTGTGATGGATGAGGGAAAGGTATATTTTTTTATCCTTTCGGCCCCCATTCATGGGCAAAGTAATAAGCTACAATCTGAAGGAATTAAGGAAAGGCCTCTCTCCTGCCCAGTTCCAGAAGTCCTGCTTTACTGCATGATGAAGAGTACAGATGTGATCAGAAAGGAAGGAAACACTGAGACATTATCACTCATTGATACTCCAGCTCCCATCAGTTGTCAAATTAACTTCAACAAAGATCAAGGGCACAAGCAAAGAAGGAATCAGATTTGGGGGAAGCAGAAAAACTAGGAGAGAAAAGTCTGGCATATGAAGCTTGTCATACCTAATGATACTACAATGTGGGTGACCTTGGAAGCTGTAGTTCAGGAAAAGGGAGGGTGGGGGTCTGAACACCTGGATGGAGAGAATCTGCCAAAAGAGCTAAGGGGTGTTGAAAAGTCATGGCAGAATGTTGGCAGCAATCCTTACCTCCTTCATAGTTTTTCCTTCCACCAACCTGATTACTTAAGTTTAGGACTGAGACTTGGCAGGATTTTTGCATGCAGACCCCAATAGAAAAAGTCTGTCTCACCCAAGACAATTCCAGCACTCTGTATGCTCCTTTCCCAACTCCTTCTGACTCCCTTGCAACATCCCACCATCATGTGCCTTCCCCTGGCCCTGATCCCAGCCTACTCAGACCTCACTTCTGACATGGGGCAAGACTTCAAGCCCAGGGCCTCTGGCCTTTTTTCTACCTGATGATTCTCTGCTTCTTCCTGTCTGCACCATTGCCTGATACCTTCTGATTGCTCAGACCAGAGCTCTACTGTCAATCAAGTGCTTGACCCCCAGAAGGCAGTCTTTGGCTTTCCAATTTAGGGAAAGTAAAAACAAAACAGAACAAAAAATATCCCTAAAATATTTGAAACAGGTTATGTTTGGAAAGTTAAAGCTGGTGAATGCTGAATGTGTAAAATAACGTCTCCCACTATTCTAGAGAGAACTTTGCAAAGCAGCTATAGTTCCTATATTAGAAATATATGCAGTTTTGTTATGAATTGAGCTCTTTCTTTTTACAGACACTGGCTCTTTGTTTATTTCAGATGTGAGCAGCTACACAGCTGCTCCCCCGTTCAATATTTGCAGCATATTAGTTATGAGAGATAACACTGAATTATTAATACAAATAATGTGTTAATACTGACCCACCTGTATGTGGAAAGGGCCTTGGAAAATAGTTTCTACGCTTATTTTAAAATGATATTCAAACGAAATTTTCATAGGGGAGAAGAGGACACACATTCATAAGCACCAGGCTCAAGAAAGTCCATCTCTTTTTTTCAAATTTGTTTAGATGAGATGTGCTCTTCACTCTTTCCCCACAAGTCCATTCTGAACATTTGAATGCCAATCTCCTTGAAGATAGATTGATCTTAGAGGAATTCAAACAAACTAAGATTTTGTGGCTTGGTGTTTGGGCATTGCAGACCTTATCTGACAGTCTGGGTTTAGAAATATAAGGAACAGAAGCAATCAATCAGAAAGCAAGAAACTTAATAACAAACTGGTAGGAAACAGAAGTGACTGCAGGAAAACTTCATTCATTCAAAGAGTTGAAGAAAGACTAAAATGATGAAATGTGACTTACAGAAGAAAGAGTTAGGTGAGAATCTAAATCTAAATTCTTAAAATAATTCTGTCTCTAATGAGATATGTCACCTGAAGCAGAACTAAATGTTTTCTAAAGTCTCATAATATGATATAATATCCCATGGATGATGTACTATTCTATGTTCCTTTCTGATTTCAGCCTCAGAGAGGTGATGCAGTCAAAGGGACATCGTTTATACAAAAATAAGACTCCTCAAAATAAATTCTTTATTTGCATTTTTTGAAATTCTTGAAGAGAACAGACAATCTCCAATAATACTTTAAAATTCCTCTTTACTTTTATCCACAGAAGACATAGAAGAGTTTTCCAAGATACTTTCTTCAAAATAGCAAAAGAATATTTCCCTCTAACCCTCCTACCTTCCAGAAATTGACTCCTACTTACTTCTGGCCCTTCACTGCTTCACCACTTTATTATGACAATTGGTTGGCTGCTTTTTTTGCTAATCCTTTCCCCTCTCCTCTCACATCTCAGATCCCATCCTTCTATGGTCATGCTCTGGTTCTCCATCACAACTGCCAGAAGGACTGGACTGACCCTCCTCAGATGACAGAACTGAAGGGAGCCAAAGTCCTATTTGTCCTACAGTGGATGTGAGAGACTGAACATGCATAGAGGAATGCTTTCCATTGTCATACCAGATCTCTATCGATTCCAATAGGGATGGCACCATGTACGAGAGGCTGAAGAAAAGACCAGGTCAGAAAATGAGACATAGAGTTTATTAAGGGGACTTACATACGGAGACAGTCCAGTGGCAGAGGATGGACAAGAGAACTGCAACCATTTGTAAAAAGCATGCAGGTCGTATAGCATTTTCACTTAGCAAATTCCACCTGGCAACCTCCATTTAAGCCAAACAAAGGCCCTCTATCCCCTGTATGGCCTGCATTCCAAGGATGGATTGGGGATTCAGATGTCCTTCATAGATAAGGAGTGGATCTCCAGGTTGGCCATTGCTGGATTCATTAGTCCAGGACTCTGAACACACTTTCTTCTTAGATCATAGGGTCCTTCTCCTAAGAAGGACTCCTAAGAATATGCTTAAGTTATTGCTCTCAGGTGCATCTGTCATTCACATGTCCATTTTGATAATGACTCATGCATGATCTTAAATAGAAATGATATTTTAAAATATATAGTGTATTCCAAAGGATTTTCCAAATAGAAGCCCTAAACTTTGATGAGTTATTGTGAAGTATTCTATCTTGAAGTAGGCCATATGGCATTCAATGAAAATTAATGCATTAGAGCAACATGCATTTGTGTGGATGATTCTCATGCATATCTTCCTCTCCTCCAATACTCTGTTGTTTGAATACCTAGGTCTCCCCAGACTTTCAGCTATCTCTCCTCTACCCAGGTTGCCCACCAAGCCCTGCCTTGGTTCTCTCCTCATGAGTCTGGAAAGTTTCTCAAGGCAGTAAGCTGTGGCAATTATAGGACTTACCACATTTATTTGCTATCGCTCAAGAATCATTGTTCTGTGGCACTTGGTGACCAACGTCTTAAAAACTTTTTTACCCATGTATTTTGTCTGATTGTTTGTTTGTTTGTTTGTTTTTGAGATGGAGTCTCACTCTGTTTCCCAGGCTGGAGTGCAGTGGCGTGATCTCAGCTCACTGCAACCTCCACCTCTCAGGTTCAAGCGATTCTTCTGCCTCAGCCTCCCGAATAGCTGGGATTACAAGAGTGCACCACCACGCCCGGAAAATTTTTTGTGTTTTTAGTAGAGATGGTGGGGCAAGGGTCTCACCAGATTGGCCAGCCTGGTCTCCAACTCCTGACTTCAGGTGATCAGCCTGCCTCAGACTCCCAAAGTGCTGGGATTATAGGTGTGAGCCACCGCAACTGGCAGTCTGATTGTTTTGATTATTTCAGTTAAACAGGTAAATAAAGTTCTTAATCCATCTTGACCAGAAGGAAAATTCCCACCAGCTGTGGATTTAACAGAAACTCAGGCTATATTTGAACTAAATTGCTAAAGATCCACAGCTTCAGATACATAACAGCCCTTCTTCCACCAACCCTTCTTCCACCAAAACCAGATCTCAAAGAAAATCCCATAACCTTCACTATGTTTTGTGCTTTCATCACAGTGTACAGCCTCGCTCAGGGAGAGCGACCTCTTCTTGGGTGTGTTAGTTTCTGAGGGCTGCTGTCACAAATTTCCAGAAACAACAAAATTTCATTCTTTCACAGTTCTGAAGGCTAGAAGTCCAAAAGCATGGTGTCAATTTATAATTATCTGGAGGCAATTCCAATGTCTTCATTTTATTCTAACACACAGCACCCAGCATTGTACTTTGCTCCTCAAATAAGCTCTATAGTGTTTATATAATGTTTAATTTAATTGTAACAGCTAAAAGGCTTTTCTATGAAGGTGATTTCAGCCTCCAGTTTTCAATTTAGGAATTCCTAAAAAATAGCACCAGGTGTACAATTCTAACATGTCTGTAAGGAACACCTGACTAGGGAACAAACTATTTTTCCCACCTGTGTGGAAGTTACTGGAATGCTAAGCTGGAGAAATTTCACTACCTTGTAAGCCACAGAGAAAGAAAAAGTGGTCTGTAGAAACTATTAGTTAAAGCTAAGACAGAGTCAATCATAAAATGCATTCCTGACTTCAGAGATAATTGAAAAGTGAAAGATAGCAGATTCAGATTCAAACACATACAGTGTAGATACGTGCTTTGTTTCTGAGCAAATGGAGATGGCTATCTTGCAAGTGCCCTTTCACCCTGTCCAGAAAGTTTCCCCAACTTTCTACACTATGAGATTTGACCATCTTCTAACCTCCTCACCCCCAGACATCCAGCTATACTACATCTCACAGGTCCAACCTAGCTTGGCCAGTCTTATTTAAAATTTAAAACAGAAATACCGAGGCTGGGATTCTTTGTAGCGAAGTCACATTAATGGCAATTGTCTGACACATGGTGCTGGGGTGTCTCATAACTTTCCTTTAGACTACTCTTTCCAAAGGCTAAGGGGTTTAATCCTCCCTTGATTCCGCAAAATACCCCGACATCATTCCAGTAAATTCTTTTTTGTGGCTTAAGTCAGCCAGAGTTTATTTTTTGTGGCCTGAAACCCAGAGAACCTTAACTAACACAATGCCCTAAGAACATTTTCGGAAAGATATGCAAGAAATTAATCTTAATTATCTTTGAGAAATGAACTAGGTGTCCTAATGGTGTAGAAGGCAACTTCTGCTGTTACTTCATAACAACGTGTATGATTGGATGTTGTGTTGTTATGGTCTGGAGCAAAGGGTTGTCGTTGGAGCAAAGGGTTTCCAGTTTGGAGTTTAGTCTGATTTGGGGTGTTCATTTTTACACCGTGAGCATGTATTACTTGCATACATTTTTCAGCTAGGTTTAGTGTGTGTGTGTGTGTGTGTGTGTGTGTGTGTGTGTGTGTGCTTACTGTCATATTTGAAAAGGAATAACACGATGATAGCTTTCTGATTTTTCACAGCTCATGTTTGTCCCTATCCTGGTCCAGCCCCCTTATTTCACAGACACACAAACTGACCCTAGAGTAGATAGGACACAGCCAACTATTTTACAGCTACCGTGAGATCATTGCTTTAGACCAGCCTAGAATTGATCTTGTTGATAATGTTCTTGTCTTAAAAAATAATGATCTTATTTTTAAATGCAGTAGATACTAAATGATCAAACATCTTCCTGTGAAGTTGCCTTATGTGTTCTCCTTCTACATCATACTCCAAATTTACTCAGCTTGAAACTTTTGCTGGTTAATAATCTCCTACTTTGAAAAGAAGGTCAAGCTTAGATGGATTTGTTATTGATCACACTTGAATGTGAATTGTCTTAACTGGGTTAAATGTAGGCAGACACTTGGATAAAATCCCTCTCAGTGAATGAGTTGGGTGTTCTGATGGAACTGTGATAAATTTAGGCTATTGGACGTCACTTAGGAATACCGTTGTAGTTCTCTCCTTCATCTTTCCCCGCCACTACCACCTAAAAAGAAAAAAATTAATATGGTCAGAAAAATTATATCCCCTGGAAGGAAATTAGCACAAGTCAAGACAAATAGACTAAATTAGCCATTTGTGGAAATAGTCCATTCTGGGAGTTGACCTGCAAATGCCTTGTCGTTAGAGCAAAGGGTTTCCAGTTCAAAGAGGGCTCAGGAAAATTGGATGGCATGTTATAATTATAAAGCAGTAAACTCTGCAGTTGTATTTTACCTTGCTTAGGATGATGTCATGGTGCTTTAGCAACTGACTTTAAAATAAGAGAGTGTAAGAATGTATTATTGTTCATCCAGGACTGTCTTGAGAATCAGAGAACCACCCAGGATCACTCTGATTCTACATGAGGGATCTCAGTAATTTAAACAGGCAACAGGTGCTTCCTAGGCCACTAAACTTAGTGGAAATGGGGTCACAAAGAGAGAGAAAGGAGGGAGGGAGAAATGAGTGAAAGGATGGAAAAAGGAAGTGACAAATGAAAGGAGGGCAGAGCGGGGAAGAGTAACGGCAAAGAAATGAGGCAAAAAGGAAGGAAAAGCCCCTTCTCCAGAAACAAACGTAATTCTGCCCCTCAAAGTGTTAGACTGTTGGGGCAGAGTAATGATCCTCTCTTCTGGTATATTGTAATAATGTTTTTAACCAGTTTTCCTGATACAAATTTACATTATTTTGTAGTGTGAATCTAAATATGGAAGTTGTCAGCTCACTCCTGCTTAAAATTCACTAGTCCTCCACCTCCTTTAGGGCAATGTGGTTTTTCGGTTAAGTTTGCCTTTCCTATCTCAGAACTTCACCTCTCAGCCATGACCCTTCATAGTGCCCTGGAGTTTTGTTGATCTGTGCAGAATGCCTTGCTTTTTTATACCCTTGAGGCTTTTGGTATTCTATTCTCTCTAGGTAGAATGAAAAGTCTGCCTTTCAACCCCCTAACCATCACCCCTTTTGCCTTGCTGTCTCAACCAGTGAGACGCTCTTCAAACAATATTTCTTCTGTAGAGCCACGCATGCCTCTTCATAAGAGAATGATTCATTAAGATTCTATTGGCATATATCAAATAAACTGTGGTTGTCTCAGTGAATCCCTCTCTCTTTGTAAATATTGAGCTCCTAAGGAACAAGCACCTTCTCATGTTTACCAGCATGTATATATACCAGTCTCCCATGTATACTCATAAGTTTATCCTCAAAAGTACTTGAATTAATGAAGAAGGCAATAGAAACTATTTTCTAGAAAATGCACTCAAGTCTTGAAAGTGACATAAAAATTTCTTGGCGATTTTTAAATTATTTAGGGGTGACTGTTAAGTTGTAGAAAATGAATAGCAATGTGAATGATTCCTGCCCATAGCAATGCAAATGAATTACACAAATCCCTGCAAGTCAGATTTTCATTTGAACCAGTCAAGATCTTACTGGTCCCCATGGCCGGGCACGGTGGCTTAAGCCTATAATCCCAGCACCCTGGGAGGCTGAGGCGGGCAGATCACCTGAGGTCAGGAGTTCAAGACCAGCCTGGCCATAGTGAAACCCCCATCTCTACTAAAAATACAAAAAATTAGCCTGGCGTCGTGGTGCACCCCTGTAATCCCAGCTACTTGGGAGGATGAGGCAGGAGAATTCTTAACCTGGGAGGCAGAGGTTACAGTGAGCCAAGATCGTGCCATTGTACTCCAGCCTGGGCAACAAGAGCAAAACTCCTTCTCAAAAAAAAAAAAAAAAAAAAAAGATCTTACTGGTCCCCTCATTTATCTCATTTATTAATGAGTCAAATAAAATCTTTGACATGCATTCATTTCACATTTGGATGAGAGTCATGATTTTACTATTTTTGAAAATTATGCTTTAACACTGTAATAGAACATTTTTATTGAATATGTCTGTGCATAAACTACCAAATAGCATAGGTTGACTGTGTGTTAATAGAATATAGAGAATGTTTTCTATTAAACTTAACACAATAGCTGTAAGGCAATGTGGAAGTGAAATTAATGTATCTGTTAAAATCATAATACTAAATTAGAACACGAACAGAATAATGTAATAGGGCCCTTTAAAGCAAATGGTTGCCACGTTTACATACACACACTCACACATGCACACCCTACATATATATCTACAAATAAATATGTGCATATGTATATGTTAAAATGTAACTGATACATTGTAGTCAGTATGTTTTCCATAAAGTAATTATAAGTTTATAGGTTTCTCCATCACAAGTATGTATCACACTCTATTAAACATGTGGTCATGAGGGCACAGTGTTAACTCTATTGCTTAACTCTTTTAATCACTCTTACTCATCCTTGCCTGTTATTTGCTTTTCCATCATTTTCCTTAACTAAAGCCTATGTATCATCCCCCTGCCAGACATCCCCCTTCCACTTATTTGAGTGGAAATAGGAACTTTCCCAATGAAGGCAGCTGAACAGACGGCATTAAGCAAAAACGTTTCAAATCTAATGGCCCATTAGTCACACTCAACCGATGATCCATTGAAATGACTGACCAGGTAACTAGGTCAGCTAACTCAAGGGAAGCATTTACGATACAGCTCTCACTTTTCCAAACCCACGGACCACAGCTTCAGCCTCCATTCACAAAGACAGGATATGGACCCAGGAGCCATGTGGCTCATTACCTGTGTGGTGGGAGTTGCTCATAGACACAAGCATGCTTCAGAGGACTGGGAATACAACTTTCTCTAAGACTGAAGTTTAGATTATCTCTAACTCTAAGAGAAGGGCACTGCAAGGTCACCAGTCTAGCACTTTGGTGTTTTTTTTTTTAAAGCACTACATCATTTCTTAAGATACATATTACATATGATTAAAACTTTATCCTATTTTTCTCCCTCTCTTAGCTGGCATTCCTTGGGAGTGGAAAAAAAAATCAAAGGCATTCCCACACAAAGGTCCACATTGAAGTGTGTTTAAGTGTCTGATTAAAACTAACAAAAGACAGGAAATAGGGAGTTAGAATTTAACTCAGTCCTGAACTCACCCTCTTGTGCCTAGGTACCAAGGGGTCAGGAAAGAACCTCTAGGTTCAGAATTAGCTGCTTCTGTTTCCTTTCACTGCTGAGATATTATACTTCAAAAAAATATTAAATTGACAAGAAGCCCCCAAGTGCCTATAACCCCCACAGGGTGGTAATCTGTGCATATCTCTAGTTTTAAAAGGCATGATTCAACCTTACACCTCTTCAAAAGTACAAAAACATCTGTTACCTTTGGTAAATCCCCTTTCCTGTGTATCTGTTTTCTGGATGTACTGAGTTATTTCCCTTTCAAAAATATAAATGAATCAGAAAAAGAAAAGAGGCCAGAAGCAGGAAAAAAACAATGATTTCTTAGCAGATAGCAAGCAACAACTTATTTATTTCTGGTTTTCTCTGCTGAGGAAAGCACTAAATTCATATTCAAACTTAATTTTCTAATCTAGGATGACTTCCAGTACACCAGGTATGATTCTGACTCTTCCTGGTCATTTTTCAAATTCGTCCTATGGTAATAATTGCAACTGCCTCCAGCTTATTCGCAGGTGGAAAGTGCACCTCCTCTGCAAAGGTAGACTGCCTTTGGGACCTAGACCATCTTTGTCTAGAGTTCTCTCACAGCAGTGCTGGCATAGACACTACTCAGGTTTGCGTGTAAGTCTGCTGATTGGAACTGGGAATGCATTTGGTACTTTGCATGATGGTAAACCATAGTTAGCCTTCCGTGATCCACAGTATTGCTGAGGAAATTGGTGAGGGTTATTAAGACTCCAGGTACCACGAGTAGCAAAGGACATCCTTGGGGAGAAATACTCAGGGTTCTAACAACTCAGAGTCCGTGACACTCTTGTCCTTGGATGCCCTTCATCTCATGCCCCATGACTTGAGACAGATAGATGTTCTAGCAGATTCTCTCCAGATATGGAAAACTGCAGATGAC
Source organism: Homo sapiens (assembly GCF_000001405.40). NCBI lineage: Eukaryota > Metazoa > Chordata > Mammalia > Primates > Hominidae > Homo > Homo sapiens. The sequence goes on from NC_000020.11 coordinate 7,852,743, forward strand.
TGGAAGTTCCTGCAAGTAAAAATCTCCCAGATGAATTTGCAGAGCAAGCCCGCACCTCCCACACAAAAGGACAAGAGAACTGATCCTCTTTTCTCATCACGTCTGTCAGTTTATATTCTTCAACCCCCACAAAGAAGTGAGCAAATCATCATTCTTCCTTTGACCAAGAAAAACAATGCCTTTCTTTACATCTACTAGTAGAAGCAACATTATGAAATAAAAATGAAAAACATCCAAGCAGTCACAATGTTTAAATAAGAATTGTTGGTGCACTGTCTCCATCAGTTGAGTAAAAGTTTAAAATTGTTTCCTGCTTGCCGGTTCACACCTCTCACCCTCTTCTTTCCACATGCAAACACGCATTTTTCATTTTCACTTAAATCTTATAAGAGGGAAACTCAGGCATTGAGAAGACTGTTCGGTGTAAGTGCCTCGAATAAATAACTCAGTACTTTCAGAGAATAATAAAGCCTATAAAAAAAGAAATAGTTAAAAGTGTCATGTAATTTTGCATCCCAGCTGGTTAAGTTTTGAGAGTGACAGGGGTGAGAACAAATGCTAAACCTGACTGGGCACCAGGACAAGAGCCTCCATCTGGGACTCTCCCAGACAAACCTGAAGTTGGGAGGTCTGTCTCCAGGTAAAGTGATAAAAATTTCTGGAGTGACTTTCAGAAATTTGTACTTAGAGAGGCAGTGGGAGACAGAGGATTGAACCCAATCATGCCTGGCTGAAGTGAGCTTTGGAAAGAGCCACACAAAATTCAAATGCAGGCTGGATTTGTGGGGCCAGAGGAAATAGGTAGATATTTAGTTTATTACACTAGATATTTGAGAGGTAATAGAGGTTTATACTGGCTGGTACCAATAGGATGAATGTGAGGGATTATTGATGTGAAATGAATAGATCTCAAAACCTCATGTCTATAAACAGGGTGAATCAGAGGTGATTTTTCTGAGTAACTGAGTGATGTCTTTAGCAGTACTTTGGGAAAAACTAAGGCCAAAAGGTTGAGTAATATACATGATTTTGCCAACTAATAATGTGACCTCTAGATCTACTTTTTAGTAAAAAGATGCCTCTATTTCAGTGTGATAAGGGCCATGAAGGGGACATGAACAAGAAACTCTGAGGTCCTAAGAACTGATTCTACTTTTGCCAGGTGTGGTAACACCCTGGACTACAATCTAAAGATGGACCCTGCTCGCTCAATCTCTAGTTTAATTACCTTTGGTGAGTAATTGCCCTTTTCTGAGCCTCAGTTATAGATTTGAAGCTCTCATATAGGTATGTTCCTTCATTGCTCTGTACTTTGGAATATGCAGCTCTCTCTAGCAGAATGCCCTTTTCCATCTTGTCTACCCGAGAAGCCCTTTGTCATACCGAAAGTTACCACCTCTGTGAGACTTTCTCTGAAAAATCATCCTCTGGAAACGTAGCCTACCAATCATCTGTCTGTTGATTTCTTGCGGCAGATACAACTTCCTCCTTCCCAGACACCTTCCAGGCATATAGCATGGCTTAGCCCAATGACACATAATCAGAAATCTTTTGAAATGGGGATTCAAGAAGACCTTTTACTTCTCTGGTTAAAAGGAACAGCCATCACATTCTTTTCCCATTTTTCCTTGTTTCTTCAAACCACCTTGAACACCATTATAATTTTGGAGATAAATCAGCCATCTGGCAACCATGTTGCTACCAATGACAGAATGAAATCCAGCAAACTAAGTTGTGGAAGATATGATCAGTAGACTCATTTATGTCATGTTGAAGCACTGAACCAGCCCTGTACCTAATTTTATTCTTCCTATTATAAAGACAAATAAGTCCCTGCTTTCCAACCCCTGTGAGCAAGTCTTTTCTTAAAACTAAAAGCATACATAATTGACACACTATCAGTTAGCTATTGCTGAGTAACAACCCCCAAATCTGCAGGTCACCTAGGTAGCCCTTCTGATCTGGTCCATGTTTCTGTTGAGCTGTCCAAACATCTGGAGGCCACATTGCCAGTCTGGCTAGACTAGGAAGGCTTCAACTGGGACAGCTGATCTCTACTCCATGTTCTCTGTCATCTCCCACCTGGCTAGCCCAGGCTTTCGCACATGGGAGCAGAAGAGTTTAAAGAGAATGTGGAGCATGCAAGCCTCCACCATCACATCTACCATGTTATTGGCCAAAACAAGTAACTAGGCCAGCCAGATGCAAGGGGAGCCATGGAGTATTGAAGGCATGACTGCTTGCACTCAATCTGTCAAACAATTGTAAAGTGTGAGAGTTTGAGAACAAGGATTGTGAGATATTTGTAACTCCTATATAGTAAGCCTTCCCTCACCTTATTTTTAGCCAAATGTTTGCTCTGCTTAATTTACAGGGCTATTGTTAGAACCCTTTATTTCTGAGTTCACAGTAGATCAAGTAGGAGGCCTTTAGAGATGCAAGGAATCAGATTACCACATACTCAATTACTGCTGGTATAATTAGATTTTTGAATGCATACTTGCAGAGCAAAGTTTTCATCCATCTCCAGGGACTTTGGAAGAAGACAAAAAGGAAACCAATACATAGAAGAGCTTTAGCTCCTGGCTGAATTTGAAAGTGGAGTTAACACAGAGTGATTCTTATCCTTGCCATCCAGTTATGATTACTTGTTACCAGTGGATAGCATGTTGTACTTCAATCACCTACTTGAGGTAATACTTATTTTTTTCCTGGGAGCAAACTCTCCCACCTGGTCTACATAGGATCTTTCACGACCACTTTCAGCAAACCATCCTCATTGTTCCCCAGAATAAAGGATAAAGAAGCTTAGAAAACTTGTGAGATCATGTCTTCTAAAGGAAAATTTTTGACCTTGAACAAGTTGGAAGTAGAGAACAGTGCGTCCACCAACTGGGAAATAATCAATGAACATCCTACCCCTAATATATGATGCATCAGAGACTGGCTAAATTCTCACCAGTTTCTTGGCACACAGCCAAAGTACATTCCCCTGACATTCTGCATCTGGGTGGGGACATATGACTGTTTTTTGCCAATGGAATGTGAATGGAAGACATACCTTTTGGTATAATGCAGGGGTCTGCAAACTATAGCCTACAGGGCAAATGTGGCCAATCACCTGTCTTTGTAAATAAAGTTTCATTGGAACATAGCCACCCTACTCATTTACATATTGTCTAAGGCTCCTTTCACACTATATCAGCAGAACTGTGTAGTTTTTAACAGAGATTGGGTGGCTCTCAGAGCCTGAGATATGTACTATTCTTTACGGAAAAAATTAGCTGACTCTTGGTTTAAGGCATGTTAAAGTGAGGTCCTGTTTCATTTGCTCCTCATCTGCTATCTGGAAGATGTCAGGCCAGTTTTTGAAGCACGACTGGATCTTGCAGAGCCCCATTATGAAAATAATTTTATCTCTGAATGGATGCACAAAGCAGAGGCTCCTGTCCAAACAACAGACCCATCCCCATTTTCTTGGAATTCACATTGGAACATGATACAAGCAAAAAAATAAAACTTTATTGTGTTGAGGTACTGAGACCTGGGGACTGTGTGTCATAGCAGCAAACACTACTTTCCTTGACTAATATAAATGAACAGAGTACAATGCTCTACACAAATATGATATTTAAAAATTGAGTAATTGCAGCACGGAAAAACAAAGGCATTGGTCTAAGACCTATAGCAAAGCTTGGAAGAGACAAGAGTGGTTATCATTTCCCCCAGCATTGTGATGAATTGGCAGAGAATTACTGCAGACCAATTCTAGCACCAACCTTAAGGTCCTTCCCATGTGATATGACTCAAGGAAAATTGAAGATTCCAGCCGAAAAGAATATCTGCTTGCTGGCTTGTCACTGATACCTGCCTAATTGTTTTTTATTATTAAAGGCTGCCTTGTTGTTGAAATGTGAACACCCCAGAAAATCATTAGCTACTCAGTATTAGAAAGGATCTCATTATACTCTTTTTAAAGGAGAACCAGATAAATAAGCCAGAAATGTATTTTTATTCTCTCAAGACAGTTAAAGTCCTAGACACCTGGAAGAGAGGGCTATAAAAAGAGATAGGAACTTCTTGCAAAAATAGATGGCTGTCTAACTTTGCCCCCTTCATTGGTATAAGGCATGACTCAGGAACCTGGCAATCGTCTTGAACTCAGAGGCCAAGATGTTTTCCTAACTACAGTGCCCTATATTCCTTACCTGCTTTGTCACTTCCTCTTCAACATGAGTCACTTCCTCTGAGAACTCTTCAGATCCATTTCAGATGATTTCTTCTTTCGTCTTTCACAACCCCTGCAATTAATAAATGCCTTAGGAAAGCACTTATTATACTACATGGCAAGTGTAATTTTACACATCTGTCTCTCCTACCAGACTTCAGTGCAGGGCCATTTCCTGGCATAATTTCTGGAATATAGAATATATCCAATAAATATTTGTTGAGTTAAAGGTAAACTGTTCTCTAGACAAACGGGCCCCCAGATCTGGTTAAGATTTAAAATTTCTTGAGGAATACATAAATATGGACTCCCAGACCTACTGAGTCAGAATCTATAATTTAGACCATGAAACTGTTACTTTTCACAAAGTGATGGTGGAGCATTGAGTTTTACTCTCCAAGAATCTAATCAAGCATTAGTCTTTTTCTTTGGTGGTTGGTACTTGCAAAGCCTCACACATACCATGAAAACAAGGTGGAGAATACATTCATTTATGTATTTAGTCATAGTTATTGAGTGTTCCTTTTGTGTCAAGCACTCCTCTGGGCTTTGGAAGTAGAGTAATGAATAAAATAGACAAGAATCCCTGCCCACATGAAATTTATATTCCAGAAAGTTAAGCAAGACAAATTAAGTGCAGATTATGTTTGTAATAAGTGCTGAAGAAAAAATTAAGCTAGGAAAGGATCAGAAAATGTGAGAGAGGGTCCAATTTTAAGTTAAGCAGCCAGGGAAGGCCACAGTAAGAAGGTGACATTGATTCAAGATCTGAAGGATATGAGAGTGAGAATCATATTTGGGGGAGGAGCATTCAAAGATAAAGAACAAGTAAATAGATCCTAAGAGAGGAGCACCCCTGGAACATCTGAGAAGGAGTCAGGAGAACAGGAGTGAGTAAGAGAGGGTCAGTGATAGGAAATAGGATCCCAAAGTATAGAAGAGGTCACATCACACAGGACTGCGTAGGCCACTGTAATGTCTTTGCACTTCCTCAATGTGAGACGAAAAGCCTTTAAAGGGTTCTGGGCCAAGACTTGACAAGGTCCAATTTACCTATTAACAGCATTTCTATTGCTGCTGTGCCTAAATTAAAGTGTGGACAGGGGCTGATGCAGGGGAATCTATTAGAAAACTTTTGTCCTAATTCATGTAAGTGATGATAGTGGATCAGACCAGGGTGTACCAATGGAGGTGGTGAGAAGTTTTCGGATTCTGAATACACTGTATTTTAAAGGTAATTCCAACAGGTTTTGCTTGTAGCTCAGGTGTAGAATAAGAAAGAGGAGAATCAAAGACAACTCCAAAGCTTGGGGGCTGAGCAAATAAAAGGATGGTATTTTCATGTATCCAGATGGAGGAGATAGGAAATTGAGTGGCTAGGGGATGGATGTAGAAGCTCAATTGTGTTAATTTGAAACACCCAATTGGAGACCTAAATGAGGATAGAAGTCATCAGTAACCTACGTGTTTCTTCCTCACTGATCTTCTCTGGCTTTGACCTCCAATGCCCTAATTCAAATATCTACTTTCTAAGCAAAGGCATAATTGCATATGTTGGTAAAATTACTTTTCGAAACCATAAAGCACTATCAAATGAACATTATTATTATTTATACATGGAAATACCAGGATGATGCCATAAACCCCAAGAAGTGCCTTTCATTTGGTATTTTAACAATCAGGCTCTAAGAAACTTGAGTCCACAGTACCTCAGGGTTTTGGGGCCAGAGGAATAAAGACTGGATTTTTGCAAGCAAATATAGTGCCCTTTATGGAAACCTTCACAGTTTGCTAAACTTTTGGAAAATGAAACACCCATCATTAAACTGTAACCTAAGGGGACATGAAGAAACAACTAACCATGCACACCCACCTCTTCTCTCCCGGGAAGTAAAAGCATTATGCGCAACTAAAGGAACTACAAGTTCAATTGAGAATATGTAAAAACCCATGGGTTTCCTTTTTAAAGAAACCAGAGTCCATACTTGCAATCCATCTCCCACTTCCATCCCATCTCGCAACCACCAGCTCTGCCCTCATTCCCACTCGTCAAATCTTGGTAGAAACAGCTGTCACCACAAAAGTCATACTGGGCCAGGACAGACAGCTGGCTCTGTGATTCACAAACAAATTAACCTTGGGATTTTATTTTGAGCAAAGGGGCTTCCTATCCTATGTCCTTCATGGCCATCCATTTTTTGCCCTTGGGTAAACACACACCAACTCAAATGTCACACATGGGGCTGAAGGACATTTGGGGTTTTCAGGGTCACTACCCACTATTGCTTTTAAAAAATATTTCCTCTTAATCAAAGGCCTTTATCTCTTGACAAAGTTTCCAGTGAAAAAGTGTACCTAGTTTAAGTAGCCAACTCATGCCTGGGGTTTAGCTTCTCAAAGAGGGAGGGGTGTGAACATCGTTGTTCCATTAACAATTTAAGGATCAGCTCTCAAAGTGTAGTCATAAGGCGTAGAATTAACAGATGACATAATGTGATATTTAAAAGTTTTAAGAAACCAGCAAATACATGTCTTGCAGCACAGCACCATCTACTGACCAGACAGAGAAAGAATATGGGGGTGGGGGAAGAAGGTAGAGAGAAAGGATGAGAAGGGCTGAGAAGGCTGGGGGGAAGAGGAAAGTGAAAAGAGGGGAAGAGGAAAGTGAAAAGAGGGGAAGAGGAAAGTGAAAAGAGGGGAAGAGGAAAGTGAAAAGAGGGGAAGAGGAAAGTGAAAAGAAGGGAAGAGGAAAAGAAAGAAAAAACAGGACTTCAGATTTCCGTTAATGCAATTCCACATTCCACAGATAAAGAAACAGAGCCCAGAAAGTTTAGCTGAATTCGCCAAGGATACAAAAGGCTCTCAGGTCTCCTATTTATAAGGAAAATTATTTTCACATTTTTGAGGTTTAAAAAAGAGCTATCCTGCTGTAGAATTTGAGAAATTAATCATCATATATCAAAGGAACTGATTAGAGAGTGCAGATATAGACCCATACGTTGAGTCTGTTATTTTTCTACCTTTGTACAAAGGCAATTCAATAGGGAAATGATAATCTTTACAACAAACTTTGTTGAAACAATTTTGCAAAAACTATGTAACCTCAACTCATAGTTCACATCTTGTGTGAAATTTTTATACACCTTGTATAAAAATTCAATATGTATTATAAACCCAAGTAAAAACTATAGAACCTTAGCCGGGCACGGAAACCATCATTCTCAGCAAACTAACACAAGAACAGGAAACCAAACACTTCATGTTCTCACTCATAAGTAGGGGCTGAACAATGAGAACTCATGAACACAGGGCGGGAAACATCACACACTGGGGCCTGTCGGGGGGTGGCGGGTTAGGGGAGGGAGAGCATTAAGAGAAATACCTAATGTACATGACGGGTTGATGGGTGAAGCAAACCACCATCATACGTGTATACCTGTGTAACAAACCTGCACATTCTTCACATGTATCCCAGAACTTAAAGTATAATAAAAAAAAATGGCACAACCACTTTACAAAAGTCTGACAATTTCTTTATATAGCTAAATATACATTTACTATATGACACAGCAATCCTACTTCTAGGTATTTACGCAAAAGTGAGGAAAATTTATGTTTTTAAAAAAACTCTGGGCCAACTGTGGTGGCTCACACTTGTAACCCCAGCACTTTGAGAGGCTGAGGCAGGAGGATTTGAGCCCAAGAGTTTGAGACCAGCCTGGGAAACATAGCAAGACCCCATCTGTACAAAAAATTAAGAAATAGAAAGTGGTGGTGTGCACCAGTAGTCCCAGCTACTTGGGGCACTGAGATTGGAGGATCACTTGAGCCCAGAAGGCCAAGGCTGCAGTGAGCTGTAATCGTACCACTGCACTTCAGCCTGAGCAACAGAGAGAAACCCTGTCTCAAGAAACAAAACAGAACAATATAAAATTGTGTATGAGCATTTATAATTCCTTTAGGTGTGATCACAGAAAAAATTCTCAGAGCTGTACAACAGAAAGAGTAAATTTTGCTGTATGTAGATGATATCAAAAAAAATGTTTAAAATGGTCTGTAGTCCGGAATACATTTTTCAAAAGCATGGAATTAAAAGTATATTCTACCCTCATACACTATTTGTTTATATAAGTGAATTTGTTCTAAAAAAAAAAAAGGAAATATAGAAAATAAAATGAATAGTGACTCCTGCCTCAAATATCCTATATTTTTAAATAATGGAAACTTAATTGGTAAGTTTTTAGTCCAATATGAATAGTTGGTTACATTATGAATATTTTAAGAATCAAAATTTGTTATACAGAGTAAGGCTAGGCACAGTGGCTCATGCCTATAATCTCACCACTTTAAGAAACCAAGACAGGAGATTCGCTTGAGGCCAGGAGTTTGAGACCAGCCTCGGGAACAAAGTGAGACCCCATCTCTACAAAAAATACAATTTTTCCAGCCCTGGTGGCTGATGTTTGTAGTCCCAGCTGCTGCTTGGGATGCTGAAGCAGGAGGATTGCCAGAGCCCAGTAGTTCAAGGCTGTAGGAAGCTATGACCATTCTACTGCACTGTAGGCTATCTGACAGAGCAAGATCCTGTCTCAAAAAATATGGACAGTGGATTGGGCGTACATTTGTTGCAATCTTTGAAGATGCTTTTAACATGAATTTTTATCCATATGAAATGCCTCTAAAAATTTTTTCTGGTAGCTCACCTAATACAAATAAGTGAATATACAGTTCTGAGTGCTGTCTCTTTCTTTTCCAGCTTAAAATTTACATTCCTATCAACCTTCATGGAGCCATACATTTGTTCCTACAACCTACATGACATCTCTGCTCCAAAGAGTTCAAATGTTGCCCCATATATGCAGAACATTTATTGACTTGAATTTATGATGCCAGGAGTGATAGTAAATCAGCGAGAAGTGGGAGAAAAACTGTTAAGAACCCTCACAACAATGAAAGCCAGTTTGCCACATTAATATTTATCTAATCAGTGGTTTCCTTGCTGCTTCCCAAGGTCTCTAGTCCACTATTAAAATTTGCCTATTTAACAATTATTTTCTATATGTCTGTTATGTAAGGTATTGTGCTAAAAATAAACTCAGGTTATTGTGGTGAATCGAAAGACAAAGGAACTATCCTAAAACAGCTCACCATCCTAGGGAGGATATATAGATACATAAAGTCAGAAATTATGGCACAATAGTATCAGAATGATGATGGGAAGCTTCAGGAGCACAAGAGAGGAAGGCAGGGTCACCAAAGGGAGGGGTATAGAGCATGGTCAGTAAGAAAAAACAATTATGAGGGCATAAGCATTAACCTGGTTTATGTCCACTAACCATCCATTCACCAGGTTGATTGAGGAAAATGGGCAGTAAGAGAAGAAAATATGAGCAAAGCCCTAAAGGCTTAGAAGTCTTTGGCTTTCTGTAATCTTGTAATTAAAGCTTCGCCACATGATGAAGATTATGCTTGGAAAATATAAAAATTCAGTAAAACTTTTTAAAAATTCAAAGCTTGATTTAATTGATCTGTAGCTATCCATTTGAAGTAATCCATTTGGTGTTAAGTGAAAACAGAGAGGCCAAACTTTATCTAGAGAAAATGCTATCCCTAAATGACATAATTACTTGGTCTTTAATTGGGGAAAATACTTTGGTATTAGAGTGACATTCAAGAAAACTGAATTTTCAGAGAATGTCGTCAGTAGGGTAAAAAGTAAAGTGTGTTAGTCTTCATAACCTTTCTAGTTCTGACATTGTACATTTGAAGGTAGAATCTGACCAGACTGATTTCTGATAGATGTTGTTTTAGAAATAGATAGTTACTCTTACTTTTTATGAATTTCCTGCAACAGAAATATCTTGAACATTTAGTCATGCCATTTCTTTGCATCGAAGTTCATCATTGGTAGAAAAAATATCCATTCATTCAGCAAGTCTTTATTTACTGCCTACAATGTGCTGCAATTCAAAATCCTCATTCGTATTATGTACTTGAGTAATAACTCTCATCAGTCATATAAAGTCTTAAGATGTACACAAAATTTCTTAACCAGTAGCTTAATTGCTTAGGTAAGCTCTCCCTCAGACCTCAAAAGCTGTAATGAAATGAGAACTAAAATGTTGCAAAGCTAGCCATATTTTTGATCTGTGCCATTTTTAAGATGGTGTTTCAATAAATATTATTCTTTTACCATGCCATAAATTCACCTCTCTATAACTTTAATAGCCTAGTCATAATTTTATCGTTCTCAATTTTAGTGAATTTGTATGTCTTCAACCATCAGTATTTGCCCTTCCAAAATATTTATAATAAGTAATTCAGAAATAGATTCTTCACACCTACAATGATCTGGTCTTCAACAAATTCGACAAAAATAAACAATGGGGAAAAGGCACATCAACAAGAAAAAAGAATCCCATTAAAAAGTGAGTTAATGCCACGAATAGACACTTCTCAAAAGAAGACATGCAAGTGGTCAAGAAACATGAAAAAAATGTTCACCATCACTAATCATCGGAAGGATGAAAATCAAAACCACTATGGGATACCACCTCAAAACAATCAGAATGGCTATTATCAAAAAGTCAAAAAATAACAGATGTTGGCAAGGTTGCAGAGAAAAGAGAATGCTTATATACTTTGGTGGAAATGCAAATTAGTTTATCCACTGTGGAAAGCAGCTTGGAGATTTCTGAAAGAATGAAAAATAGAATTGCTACTTGACCTAGCAATCTCATTACTGGGTACACACTCAAAAGAAAATAAATTCTTCTACCAAAAAGGCACCTACACTTGTATGTTCATCACATCTCTATTCACCATAGCAAAGACATGGAATCACCCGAGATGCCCATCAGTGGTGGATTGGACAAAGAAAATGTGTGGTACATATACGCCATGGAATACTACACAGCCATAAAAAAGAACAAAATCATGTCCTTTGCACCAACATGGATGCAGCTGGAGGCCGTTATCCTAAGTGAATTAACACAGAAACAGAAAACCAAATACTGCAAGTTCTCACTTTTAAGTGGGTGCTAAATATTGTGCACACAGAGATACAAAGATGAGAACAATAAACACGGGAGATTCCAAAAGGGAGGAGGGAAAAAGGGGAGAAAAGAATTGAAATACTACCTACTGGGTACTATGTTTACTGTTTGGGCAATTCTTCTACAGCTATTTAGCTAGAAACAATTTCTTCAGGTCCTCGTTTCTCCTCTGCAGTAATGCAGCATGGGGCTGTGTGAGATATCCTTTCATGTGGATAATGTATTGCTTTGGGCAGAAGAAAGCACTCCTACAATAAATCCTCTACGTGAGCTGCTCCATAAGGAACTTGAAAAACTGGGCAAAACAATGCAAGAAGCAAGCATGAAACTTGAGGTTGTTATCACTGCCAACACACAAAGTTAAATACATGCAACTATTACCAAGTATGTCTGCCCAAGCTAGTCAATGGACCAACTTCTCACTCACTGTATTTTATATTTATAAGCCAAGAGAGAAACACAACAAAAAAAAATCTCACCCTTATGTTTAGAAGGCAAGAACAGAGGACAAGAAAAAGGTAAATTTTGACTAATATTCGCTATTTATTTTGGGTAGTTATTGTTAACTCTTAGAAGTTAAATCAAAAGAAATGTGGGATTCCACCTGTCTTGGGCAGGGCTAGGGAATGTTCACTCTCATTTTCATTATATCCTCTTTGAAGCTACATTCGCCATGTCCTCAATTTTCATTACATATATGTCATGCACTTCCAAAACTGAACCTCATAGTGGCCAGAGAAGCAGCATGTTGAGAGAGACTCACTGATGGGCAATTGCTTCATTACCTCCTACCCACTTGATAACTACAGAGATTTTGTTCAAGTCCACTCTGTGAATTTCACACTTACAGATTCGTAGCCAACTTAATTCAGTGCTAATGCCCTCTATAAATCTGCTTGGAAATCTTGACTAGTCCTGAACCTACATATCATAGTCCTTAAGTCCCACTAGGACTAAGAACTTGACGTACAGAATGAAATGCATTCCTCATCTGCAACTCCTGCCCTCAATCCCACATCTACAATAGTCTCCATCGACCCCATGTTGTTTCTTAGAAAACTGGGTAGAGGATAGTACCTGCTACAGGGAAGATGGCTGAGCTCCATTCAGAGGCTCTTGTCATGTCTGTATGCCCATCCACAAGCTTTAGTGGACTTTGTTTCACATGGCTTGCACCTGTGACTCCATTCAGAAGACTGATCTTGGGCAACTGGAGCCACTTTGCTGCCCAGGGAGTCAGAAGTACCTGGGAATTTACAGGCTTCAAGGATGACCAACAATTCCAGTTTGCTTAAGACTAAAAGATATCTCAAGATAATTTAGTGTGAAAGCAGGATGGTGCCAGGCAAACCAGGACAGCTGGTCACCCAGTGCACCCCCCACACCAAACTCCAAAAATGGACAGCCCTTACCCTCAAATGGGAACGAACTTTTGGGTAAAACTATACCGCAGAGCTCCTTGCAGGACCCAGCTGAGGCTGGGCATTTCCTTTGCTTGTCATCTTCCATTCTGTGTCTGGTTTCCTCCCTCTCACCTCCCCATGTCTGCTGGAAGTACTTCCTTCATGAGTCTTAGGCACCCATTCTCATCACAGGGGAACATTTCTGGGGATCCCCACTGAGGACACCTGCCTCTCTATGAATGTTAGAAAATTGCATGATGTATCTACCACTGAAATCCATAAGGCAGTCACAAATTTCACTTCAGCCAAATTTTTGAGCCTCCTCTCCTGAAACAAAACTGATAATGGAAATATTGGCAAGTAGAAAAATCCCTCATCTTGTTAATTGTTTTTGTGTTGTTTCCATAGCCTCAGGTCAACCTAGCTGTGGCAGTGATGGCAGCAGAGGGTGAAAGCAGTACTGATGGGCCAAGAAAAAGTAAAAGGAGGAAAACAGAATTTAAATAATAAACCCAAGTGATCAAGACGTGATTATTTCTTCTACAGTGGGGCTTAAAGGCTATTTTTCCTGAAATAAGACTAAAATCTAGAGTACATTTTTAAAAAATAATTTGCTCTACTACGATATGTAGTAATGTATTGATATTATTTATATAGACTTTAAAATATGTTTAGAAACTGTAACTCTGTAAAATATTAACCTGAACTGGAATGGCCCTCTTTAAAAAATATATAATTTTTTTTAAACTCTCCTTCACTGACTTGCTCTTTCAATGAACCACTGAGGTCACTATATGATGAGGAGCAATTTGCAATAATTTACCAAAATAATAATAAGGTAGCTCTATATCCTGTGTGTTTGATTTTTTTAAAAAGGAGTTTCCCTTTCAGGACCCCATGAATGTACAAGGTTCAAACAAAGTGCGGGGAGCTAATGAACAGACTGTGTTTTCCTGTGCCGGGCCCCTGTACAGAATGACTTCATTCAGGGCTACGGCTCGCGCATGGAAAGTGCTGGTAAAAAATCCCACAGAGTTCAGACGACCTTTTCCTAACTTTCGTTTTTTTTTCCCTTGTTTGCCTTTCGGGCCTAAGCCAGGGAAAACATAAATATTCATCAGCTGATATTTGCAGTAGCTGTGAAGTTATGAATGAGGCCATGCGGCTTTCCTCCTATCCCATCTACAGAATGGCAGCTTCTCCACTCAGCTCCCAGCCAAACGACACTTTCCGAAATCCCCAAAGTGTACTAGAAGGCTTTTCAAATTCAGTCTTTTTTTTTCCTTTAATGCTCAAAGCAGAAATGCTGTCTGCTTAATGTTTACCCTAGGATTATAGAAGAAGAAAAAGAAAAACATTGCTTTGCCAAGCTTTAAACTTTCAGATGCCTTGACGTAACAGGCAAATATGCTAGCAGCTCAAAATATTGGTAGTATATATCAATGGATATGATGGGGTCAGGGATTTTTAATATCAAACACTAGACAGATACCTGAGGCATTTATTGTGTGAAGGGCAGAGAAAAAAACCATCGATTTGACCTGGTTCTACTGCTTTGTTAGCATCTGGACAGGTGTTAGAGAGAGATGCTGGAAAACAGTTTTGAATAAGATTTCAAATAGGTCCTCAATGATGAGATATAAAAAGAATGAAAATTGTGCCTGCCATAAGGTCTGGGATGGAGCTGGTCTTTCTGTCGTCCAGATTCCTCACAAATTAATGCTTTAAAATCTGGAATCTTTTCATCTTCCAGGGTCTGTCACTCAAATAAAACTTTAGTAGAAGGTGAATTGTGAATGGAAGAGACCGTAGGGTAACAAACAGCAAATAGCCATCAGTGTCTAGGAACAAACAAAACCTGTTCTGGGCTCAGCATAACCATATGTCTTTGAGCTTCCTGGATCTGGTCCCCGTAACACAGAGGTCTGAAGAGTCACCTTCAGAAACAGGAGGCATCTTTGAAAGTGGTGGTAAAGACTTTGTCAACAACACTTCTGAAAATTGCATTGTGCCAAGAGGCAACAAGTGATGAGTAACAGTGATAATGCAATTGTGGAACAAATTGATTCAAATAGTACTACAGCCCCCTCTCAAGCATTCATTTCTACAGATGACTGCTAGACTGTTTGGTGAATCCAAAAGTAACCAGGATTGTGGCACAACTTTTGATACAAGAAAAAGGTTTGTGATTCTAATAGAAAATGACTTTTAAATAATATTTTAAAAATGTATGATTTTGAAATAAAAAATGGAACAGCAAAAACGTCAACAGCACAACAGCTAATCAATCAATCCCCAATGATTAGTGAATGTAAAGAGTGAGACATGTTTTTATAGATAAAGAATGTATGTATCAATGTCCAATATTCTCCTTTTGACTTTCCTCATCAGTATGTTTTATTCAAAGCTCAATATTTGGTCTCTCCTTGTCTCTGTAGAAATGTTACCTACATGATGGGTTTATTGGGTAATTTTAGGGTTGGAAGATTATTTGTAAGAAGTGTCACTAACTACAAGGTCCTACTTGGTGAAATATTGTCGGGAATATTCTCTATTTTTGAATTTTCATTCATTATTACAGATCAGGATCTCTTATAATCATTGTTCTGTATTTTTTATGGGGTTAGCCATATTACCTATACCTGACAGTGGAAATAATTTTCTAAACCACCAAACCAAAGAGATGAAGAAAAGGGTCTCAGGTGTTCAAATAAGGACCAGTTCCCAGACTGGCAAGAGAGCTGACTGGAACAAATGCTCGTGGCTTGGTTGCTGTCTGTTTCTCCATTCTGAAGTAGCCTTGCCAGGCCCAGAATGGAAGCCAGAGGCCAGTGCTCAACTGTGTTCTCCTTGGCTCCAGCCCTCACCAGAATAAGGCCTGATGAAGAGCTATGGGACAGTGTCAAAGGCAATGACCTTCTGCAGGAAAAACTGGACAGCATACAGGAGTGACGGATTGTCATGCATGTCCAGAGACATTTAGGAGGCCAGCTGAGTTAGCATAGGCAGGAAAATATTTCCTCTCCCTCTATTCCTTGCCCAGGACTGAGAATTTTGAGCTAGAAGTAGCAGAGAGCAGAATTAGTTGTCCATCCTTCTCTATGAAACTCATTTTGCAAATCACATCAGATCACAATGTCAAAAAGCATTCCAGTTTGATACTCATTACACTTATGTTAACAGAGAAGAAAGTCACCAGGTTCAAAAGTGGCCTGTAAAATCTTGTTTACAAGAGATTCTATGTTTTGAGCTTGGACAGAAGTAAACAAAATCTCTCATTTGGCAATTTTTCTTTGTCTTGAAAGGGATATTTACATGTTAAAGACCACTATTTGAGTTATATATTTTTTTCATCCCTCTGCCTTCTCTGGAAATGCTGCATTTTCCCCCATGAATACCTCCCCTGTTCAAATACACAGCTAGAATTTTCAACAAGACAAGAGAACATTGGATACCCAGAATCAGATCACTTGATGCATATCACAAGTGTAGCTCATCAATGTGGCCTATGTAATTTATAAACTAAATTGAGAGATTTTTGACAGTAAACAGGGCATTATTAATTACACTGGGAGAATGAGTATAAAACCAAGATTGTTATGAACACACTGTAACATATGACCATCCTACACATGGATTCTTCTAGCTGATTCTCTCTACTCTTATCTTCAGTTGCCACTTTTGCTATCTAGATAATATGTTGCTTTTCTATGAGGAGATTTATTAACACCTTATTTGGCTGTTGATCACAGCTATACCAAGTTATCATCAATATGCTTCACTTAGCCTGCATCTTCCTGAGATTGTCTGGGAAATATTATCTTCCTTCTGTCTTCTCCTCAATGATTTTAATGGTTTCAAAAGCATATCACATAGCATATCACATAGACAACTGTGTGTTCTGCCTATATGTAGAGCTGACACTAACTCAATAAAAGTAGATTGTTCATTTCCATTGCTGCGGAGAGACTACTCAGTGGATTCAAGGAACAGTATTGGCTCTCTATACTGAAGTATGCTTAGAATCAAGATGATTAGCAAGGTACAAAAGGGTCTCAGACCACTTCCATGGGGTCAGTGTTTACACCTGTTAGAGAAGGGCACCTTTGTAGAACAGCCACTTTAACACATTGGGTTTGGATTTGAGGGTTCCATCATGCCTGAGGATTTCCAACTCCTCTGTGGTGAATTCCTTTTACTGTCTGTTGATCTTGAAGTGTCCAACTGTACCTTTTTTGTCTCATATAGTTCCTTCTGCATTGTAATGTGGAAAACAAAATTGTACCACTTCAAAGGTGATAATTTTTAGAAGTAATAATTGACTAAAGTCTACAGTCTATTTAAACTGATTAAGATAATTCTAACAGGAATTTGCATAAACACACTTTTACTTTTCTTACCATTAAACCTTGATGAATTTTATTATTAAAACTGTATTAATTATCTCCAGCTCTGTGACCATTAGTTGACTGGCCTTGAGTAAGTCATAATCTTTCTGGTCAGTTCCCTAAACTACAGATGAAGGGGCTGGATTTTTAACATTTCTCACACAGCATTCCACAGAACTCTGGTTATTTCCCATATTAATTGTACACATTCACAAAGGACTAATGGGAAATCCCTGGTTTAACAAATGAGATTTTCTTACCATAAGACTTAAGACACGCTAATGGGCAGAGTGTCTTTTCAAACCACAAGACTCAACTTTAAGTTTACATGATTAATTTATGCACATCAATAATAAAGTAACCAAGAAGTTACATTTCCAAGAATAAACACATTAACTTTGGAATAACATGTTAAACTCCCATCAAACATTCTTGGTCTTAAACTGACATTACGGTTCTGGATCACTGATAGGTGGTTAAGCAAACAAAATAAGACACTACTCATAGTGGGTCTCCAGACCATTTCTTCCAAAGCATGTAACTTCCCAGTTGCAACGTGATGCTGTATCCATTAGGTATTATAAGACTAAGGTCAAAGAATATACAGGGTGCCAAGTACACATGAATTCTAGAAAAATAGGTGATTTTTTTTTTCAGAGTCTCACTCTGTTGCCCAGGCTGGAGTGCAGTAGTGTGATCTCAGCTCACTGCAACCTCCGCCTCCCAGGTTTGAGCAATTCTCCTGCCTCAGTCTCCTGAGTAGCTGAGACTACAGGCACACGCCACCATGCCTGGCTAATTTTTGTATTTTTAGTAGAGACGGGGTTTCACCATGTTGGCCAGGATTGTCTCGATCTCCTGACCTCATGACCCACCTGCCTGGCCTCCCATAGTGCTGGGATTATAGGCATGAGCCACCACACCTGGCCAAAAAGAGGTACTCTTTTAGAACAAGTATGTCCAAAATCTTGCCAATGTCCAAAATATTTTATACTAAAAATTATTTGTTGTTTCTGTGGGAAACGCCTATTGTTTTGTTTCCAATAAAGCTTTCCTACTCTGGGGAAAAAGGTACCCCTTCTCTTCCCTCTTCTCCACACTACAACATTTAGAACTCAAAGTAGCCCCCAATTCATATAGTGCCCTTTCTTCCTGACCAAGTTTGATTGGGCAAGAGATGGGCAAGAGACTCAATTAGCGCTCTGCTCTCAGATAATATTGAACTGGAGCTGGAACAAGAGAGTGAATAATTCCTCGTGGCAGAACCAAGAGATAGGAATCTGGGGAGCTGCAGATGGCCATGTGCCTCACTAGGAGGAGGATGCCAACCTAGAGTGAAAAAGTATAAAGGCTACATTCTGAGGGAACAAACCTGGAGAAAAGCAAAAGTAGTCCTTGTTGCTTTCAAACCCATGGTCCCAAGTTTCCCTGGGCCCAATCGCATCCACGCTTTTCCTGTGGCTTGGTATTTCAACACTTCCTGTGATTGAGATACTAAACACTCCTCCTTTTCCTTCACCTGGTTCAAGTTGCATTTTGTTCTTTCCAACAAAAGATCATGAGTTATGAAATTTTAGTTGAACATTGTTTAGGATGCTTAGATAAAAATTAACTTTCTCACAAAGACTAAAGGAGTATTAATTACTTACCACTTTTTAGGAACTAACTCTTGCACAATTGAGATGCAGCATGTATCTTCATCCAACTGATGTGCCCAGTACTGAGTATTGGGCACACCACAACTGTGAGGTGCCCACAGAATTCTTTTTTCAAAGACTGGATTGTAAGACTGCTTCACAGACTACACATGAGTAACTTCTAGCCACATAATCTGACATATTTTAAGTAATGTTAAAATTCTATGACTTTGTGATATTTCAATTATTTATTAATCTCAATTTGATAGTTATTTGCTATGAGAATAGAATCAAATAAGTATTTAAATGCTGCAATCTATATTTGAGAAAATCATACTTTCATATTATAATATTCTCTGTTTATTTCTGTTATGAAAATTAAGCATATTTTTACAATAGCAGTTTATGATCATGAAAAATTCTTATAAAATCAATGTTCTTAAAATTTTCCATTAAATGTTGTGATTTTACATTTTCTCAGTGGCATACTTTTAAGTCTTTGCTATATTTGATTCTAAGCATAGAATGTTAGAGTTTTTTAAAAAGTCAGTAATATCCATGACATTAGTTAACATGTTTATTAGTTAATTTAACAAATATTTACTGAATACCTATAGTTTTTATGCAAGGTATTGGTAAGATAGCAAAAAAGATACATTTCCTCCTTTCATGAAAATGACAGTCTAGTTCTAGCACTATTTCCTCATCATTTTTCCATATTGATGCTTCTTCTGTGCTTAGGACGACATTAAGTTTACCCATACGTCTACTTAACAGCATGTAAGGAAGTAAAGATCATCACATGTCAACCCCAAGACTATGATGGATTCTATAAGCATGACTTGATTTCCAGGCGTCTTTCCCACATGCTTTCTCACCCCTGAAAGCGTTCAGTGTGGCCAGAACTGGAGGCAATGCCACATGAGTAGACAGACCGCCACTGAAGGGTGGTCTTTCTATTGTTCCAGGCACTGTATTTCTGTTACCAAAGTGCAGAGCAGAAAGCAATGTGCCCTGACAGAAAGAGCTCTTTGTCAGGAGTCCAAAGACCTGGATGGCAGCTCTTACCCCAATACTCATCAGGGAATGACCTCAGTGCTCAGAGAAATATCTAATGGCATCTGGACAACCTCTAGAAAATTATAGGTTGTGTCCAAAAACTTCCATCCCTGCAAACTTTCCTCTCACTCTCTATATGAAACTGCCTACAAATTTTTAAAAATAGTATATTGCTTTAATAATTGAAATCCTATCATGTGATAGCAGAGGACATGCATAATTACTGATTTTAGTAAATGCTTTAATAGTGCAGACAAATTCTGATTATGAACATTTTCTGATAGGGGCCAATATTTCTGAGTTTCAAATGAATCTAGACTGGAAAATAATGTTGGCTTTTATAATGAATAGACTACTAAGAATACCTGATTTATGCTTTATTCCTGAACAAGAGTCAAAAAGACAGAATGGTCAGGAGTACATAAAATAAATTATAATTGATAGGAGAGTTAGATTCTTGCAGGATGTGAGTCTTATTTTGTTGTTATTTTTGTTGCAGCTGTATCATCTCTCATTTCCCCTCTACTGGGCAAGGTAAAAGACATTAGAGGATCATGTAAACCTCCATCATCAGGAAGGTTTGAATAAGCAATAGGAATGTAAATATTTGTGAAAACAACTAGAGACTGAATAGTTGTAATTGATTCATCATATATAATTTTAATTAACATTTAAAATAAATGTTGTTATTTTATTAACCTGAAGCCTTGAAGAACTTTGGAAGCAGGAGTGTTAACAAAGAGGATGTTTAGTAGAGGAGGGAGAGATTCTCATTCCTGAACTTCTGGAAAAAGGACGTCTCTCTAATGGGGAGGCAGTTTCGACATTAACCTCCCATGTCCTTTTAACCACTCCCCTCCAGAGAAAGGCCCAAAACTGTGGGGAGTGCTCTGCTTTCCACAGACCTTCTTTATATGTTTAGTTGCTTGCACTTGCATCATTTTCTCCATCATTTGCCTGCCCAATAAAGGATGGACAAGAGATGGCAAAAGAGTTCAAAGCCAATCAAATAATTCTGGATAAATTGTTAACAGACCTGGAATAAGAATAGCCAAGAAAAATTTAGCTAAAATAAGATTTCGGGGGAAAATCTGTGGATTTCATTTAGATTGTGTTTACATGACAACAAAGTATTGGGTTAACTCAGTGGAAAGTAGGCAAACTGTTTATGCAGTTATGTAGACAAAACAGTTGCATCAGTGATTACCTTTTCAAGTTGTGGATTCTGGCTTTCTTATACACTGCCCTGCCCATAATGATGAATTTATAATAACTGCATAAACTAAATTTTTGGTAGATTAGCATTTTACTAATTTCTGAGTCTTCCAATATTTTTTGTGGTTTTGTGCAGTTTGTTGTTTGTGGTGCTTTTCTATTTATTTATTTATTTTGTCATATATGTGGCTGGGAATCTTGGAAACAGTGAATGTTAGCTTTATTAAGTCAAATAATTGAAGAATTTTTAAAAAGATTTTCTTCCTGACTACTTTTGTGGTGTATTAAAACCAAAATATTACTACTTAAAACAGGGATGTTCACACTATGACACATATTATATAAAATTACTATTATTCAGAAATTCTTAAAAAAAGACTTGAGAAATATTGCTCTTTAGTACTTCAACTAGATAGTATGGTTATAGTATCAAATAATATTTAAACCAAAATTCAAACCAACCCCTCTGTTAGGTATTGATATGGTTTGACCATGTCCCCACCCAAATCTCATCTTGAATTCCCACATGTTGTGGGAGGGACCCAGTGGGGGGTAATTGAATCATGGGGGTGGGTCTTTCCCATGCTGTTCTCATGATAGCAAGTAAGTCTCATGACATCTGATGGTATTATAAGGGGGAGTTTCCCTGCCCAATCTCCCTCTTTGCCAGTGCCATCCACGTAAGATGTGACTTGCTCCTCCTTGCCTTCTGCCATGAGTGTGAGGCTTCCCCAGCCACATGGAACTATAAGTCCAATTAAACCTCTCTCTTTTGTAAATTGCGAAGTCTCAGGTATGTCTTTATCAGCAGCGTGAAAATGGACTAATACAGGTATATACCCAAAAAAAAGGAAACCAGCACATCGAAAAGACAGCTGCACTCCCAGGTTTGTTGCCGCACTGTTCACAATAGCCAAGATTTGGAAGCAACCAAAGTGTCCATCAGCAGATGAATGGATAAAGAAAATGTGGTACATATATACAATGGAGTACTATGCAACTGTAAAAACAATGAGATCCTGTCATTTGCAACAGCATGGATAGGACCGGAGGATCATTATGTTAAGTTTAATAGCCAGGCACAGAAAGATGAGCATTACATGTTCTCATGTATTTGTGGGATGTAAAAATGAAAACAATTGAACTCATGGACATAGAGAGTAGAATTTTGTGTAACACAGAGGCTGGGAGGGGTAGTAGGGGATTCAAGGGGAGGTGGGAATGTTTAATGGATCCCAAAAGAGTAGAAAAAATGAATAAGACCTAGTATTTGATAGCATAAAAGGATGACTATAGTCAATAATAACTTAATTGCACATTTTAAAATAACTAAAAGAGGGTCATTGGATTGTTTTTAACAACAAGGATAAATGCTTGAGGAGATTAAAAAATAAAACAAAATTCAAACCAAAACTATATTTTTGTATATGGGATAGCTATTGTCTACTATTATTCAGAATATTTTTTAAAAACTGAGTGGTTTGCACATTAATAATAAAACTAAATAACATAGTATTAAAAATAAAGAAAAATCAGAGCCAAAATATGTTATTGGCTTGGGCAATGCTATTTGTTCATATGATAAAGAAGCCTGTGTTCTTATGTCAAGGAGATGCCCACATTTCTTGAGAAAGACTTCTTATTGGTGCCATTTTGCTGTTTAGGATACAGGGTTTCATTCACTCTGCTGGAAATATTTCATTATATCTAAAAGTTTTGTTCATTCTTTCCAGATTTCCAAGATATAAGTCATTACATTACATGCCAAATATTTTTATTACTATTCTTTTCATAATAGCTTACACGTGCATTATTTTTACTGTTTGAAAGCATCACTACTTGTCATTACGTCTTACTGATTAGCTATATTACTATTCCACCTAAAGGATGAAATCTAACATTCAAGATTATTTTCTCAAGATTTGTCAAGTTTGACTTGAGATTTCTCAAGTTTGTCCACTCAACAGCTGGGCTGTGCCATGAACTCTAAACTTTAGACAAAATTATTGTGCTTTTCTAGGTTATCCTTACCAAAAAGGTAACAGTAAACTGAATGGAAAGATTAATAAGAAAAACAAACCAAAAATAATTCCATAAAGCAGCTTTAGATCAATATAGCATTACCCAAATAATTTTAAAATTTTATTATATTTGTTATTGCAATTAATTTACATGCTATATAGAATAACTTATAAATTGTATTACATTTATCATTGCAGTTTATCTGTCTACCATAAGGGTAAGAGCTACTATAAAATTGTATTTTTTTAAACTGGAAAGCTACATCAAAAAGACTTTATATGACTTCGCCAGGATAATCACATAGCAGGGTTGGTCAACTTAAACTAGTCTTGAGTCTATTAGATTACGTTTCCCCAGTGCTCAATTTTATTCATAACATCTAGATCTGTGCTATTCAATACACACCCACTAGGCACATATGACTACTTAAATTTAAATTAATTAAAATTAAATAAAATGAAGCATTGAAACTAGACACATTTCAAGCACCCAATAGCCACATGTGGCTGATGGCTACTATATTGGAAGTGCGGGTAACATTTTCATCATCACAGCACATTCACCAGATAGCACTGGTCTGGATAACAAAAACCTCTAAGGAAGTTTGTTGTCAAAGAAAAAATGTTCAATAATTTATAATATAATAACCATTGCTATTAATGTCATTATAATGTGTTTGGTAAGGATCACATAGAAAAGTAGAGAACAATGTTGTAAGAATATATGTTAATAATTGATATGAGACTTATGCTGGTTGTTTTTTGTATATTCAAATTTAAAATAAAATACAGTGGGTTAGGCATAGCTGTGCTTCACAATTGTAAGCCATGTGACATTTAGCTTTAACTTAGCTTAAGTCATTGAAATTCAAAGACAAAGAAATAATTTTTTAGACATTGGGTTTGGAAAGTGGATGTGGGGAGATTATGTTAAAACATCACGAGCAAAAGAGTAAGCCAGTTTTTATTTCTTCACATAAAATTCAATGCCAGAAAGCAATCCAAAATGTCTACAAACAGAAAATGTGACCCCAAAGTAGTATACCTATCCATGGTGTCATTCAAATACAAGAACATCAAGTAGATTTTTAAACATGCACAAACTTAAAGAATACCAGCTATTTTTGAAATTACAGTTGGCCAGTGAAATCTAGGGAACCAGGAGGTGAATCAAAGGTAAGAACCAGAGAATGGAGAAGCTATGACAATTATAAGTACCGAGCCCATTTAAATGAAAACCAGTATTAAACAATTTTGGAAATCAATGATAGAGAAGACAATGATTTATACTTTGATAATTTAAAAATTATATATATACATACATATATATATATATATATATTTTTTTTTTTTTTTTTGAGATGGAGTCTGGCTCTGTCACCCAGGCTGGAGTGCAGTGGTGTGATCTCTGCTCACTGCAAGCTCCGCCTCCCGGGTTCATGCCATTCTCCTGCCTCAGCCTCCGCAGTAGCTAGGACTACAGGCGCCTGCCACAACGCCCAGTTAATTTTTTGTATTTTTAGTAGAGACGGAGTTTCACTGTGTTAGTCAGGATGATCTCGATCTTCTGACCTCGTGATCCACCCGCCTCAGCCTCCCAAAGTGCTAGGATTACAGGCGTGAGCCACTGCGCCTGGCCCTAAAAAGCGGGTGCAGTGGCTTATGCCTGTAATCTCAGCACTTTAGGAGGCCGAGGTGGGGGGGGATCACCTGAAGTTAGGAGTTCAAGACCAGCCTGGCCAACATGGTAAAACCCCATCTCTACTAAAAATACAAAAATTAGCCAGATGTGGTGGCACATGAGTGCAATCCCAGCTACTCAGGAGGCTGAGGCAGGAGAATCACATGAACTCAGGAGGCAGAAGTTACAGTGAGCCAAGATCACACCACTGTACTCCAGCCTGGATGACAGAGTGAGACTTCATCTCAAAAAAAGGATATATACATATATCCTTTTATATCCATATATATATATATGTACACACACTAAAGGGGAAGAGAAGAGGAAAAAAGGAGAGTAGATGTAAGAGACTACTTCATTTTTTATAGCAATGAGTTAACTGGTGCTAAAATTAAAGAAAGTGTATGCCATAAATCAAAAATTACTTTAATCTTTTAAGTTTTCATAATTTTCCAAATACATTGTGTAGGCACTTTTAATCTACGATATATCTTTTTGAAAAAAAATTACCTTAATTTTAAATGTTTCCAACTTTACTTTTCCTTCTACAAATTCAAGTAAAAATAAATTGAATCTCTTACTCAAATATAACATGTATTGTATAGTCCTATTTTAGTAAAGCTGTAACCATCCAACAGGTTCATTTTGCCCACTGCACAGATAGAGCCAAATTTTCAAGCCACAAATTGGCAATACAGAAAGAGTTTAATACATGTAGAGCCATCTAAACAGGAGACCAGAGCTTTATTATTACTCAAATCAACTTCCTTGAAAATCCAAAGGTGAGGATTTTTCAAAGGTAGTTTGGCTGGCTAGGGAATGGGTAATGCTGACTGGCTAAGGATGTAATCATAGGAGTTTGGAAAATGGTCCTTGCGCACTGAGTCTGCTTCTGGGTGGGGGCCACAGGACCAGCTGCGTCAAGAGTCATGGATCAGTGTGGGGCCGCCCAGTCCTCAGAAATGCCAAAGACTGAAAAGACATCTCAAAAGGCCAATCTTAGGGTACACAATGGTGATGTTATCTGCAGGAGTAATTGGGGAAGTTCCAAATTTTGTGACCCCTGGAATAAAGGCTGATCATCCTTTAGGCCTACATCTTAACAGAATTTAGGCTCCTCTCATCCTCCTTAGCTTTACAAGGGCTGTTTAGTTTTTAAGAAGGGCTGTTATTATTTAAACTATAAACTAAATATCTCCCAATGTTAGCTTGGCCCAAGCCCAGGAATGACCATGGAGAGTTCAGAGGTCAAAGGTAAGATGGAAGTTGATTAGATCAGGTCTTTTTCACTGTCATAATTTTCTCATTGTTATAATTTTTGCAAAGGTGGCTTCAAAACCACTTCTATCTATCCAGTTGCTACTGATTATTCAAACACAGCAAAGTCTGAGATGATATTCACCCAATATAAATAACATTTATCTCTCTGTGGTAAAATCTGTGGTGATGTTTATTTTACTCTGTAAAATATTCAACTTTTCTCTAAATAAATACTATAAAATAAAATACTTATTAGAATGTCTTTTATTCTCTTTCCTGATAATAATCATTATTAAACTATTAATATAAAATAATATTTTCCTTTGACTGTTGATTTACAGTTCATGATAAATTCTCACCTATTTCACCATGCTGTGTTCATAATGACCCAGAGAGGTAGACAGATGCTGCCGCCCTCATTTCTCAGCTGAGCATCTGAGGGTCCTCAGATTACATAACAGTTCACCCAGCTAATCATTCAGATCTTCAGGATTCTAACTCAGTGCTTTTGAGCAGGTTAGTCTTGATCTTCATTAAGTTTAGTAAGAAAGCTCGAACATACCATGTAAAGAATCTTACCATGAAAGACTCTATCAATATGAAGATTCCACTGTTAGAAACAGACTCAGGATGTTGACTGTAATGGAAAATAAATCAGCGTTAAAGACAGATGATCTAACCAGAAAAGATACATAGGAAACCAAGCAAGGTTCTTTTCCCCTGTGATGCTGAATCAAAGGAACAAACAAAATCAAGCCTATCACTCACTTGAATTCCAGCTCTTCTTTTGGCATCATTCAGGGTAACACAATTCTTAATTTTTAGAAGGTCCTGGAAAACTTTCAATAGAACTTATACTCATTATCTAAGATCAGAAAAATGTCAGTGGAAAAGCAAACAGATAACTGGATTTAAAAATAAAAAAGTATCTTTTTCTTTCCTCCAACAATGGGCAAGTACATTAGGGAGGAAAGAAGACACCTATTGCTCAAGTTTGATTTGGGTAAGAACAGGAAATTGCATCTTTTAGAATAGATGAGATTTCCCATCACATAAACATATAATAATAGCCTCCTATCATTTGAGCTAACATTTACATTACCTAAAATAAACTGTCATCCTGATGTTGTTCTATAATTGGCATGTGACAGAATGCACGCTGAGGCAAATATAAGTTCGGAAAGCATCCTGTCTTTATGTTAAAAGAAATCTTCGGACTTTCCTAAACGGACAAACTTTATTTTGTTGCTATGCAACTGACATGGAACATAGTCCATCAGACAGTAAATAAGTTATGAATTTTACAATGAAGAGAAAAGTCTTTTCTCTCTGTTTGAGAACAAGCCACAACTTCCTTTCATGGTTTCCTAATCCACCACAGCCCTCTAAAGCTGTTTCACAAACGCCAATGTTTTGGCAAGATAAACAAGCAAATGAATAACACAGCAATGACCCAAATGCAGTCTGCAAACATCACGCTAAGAGGCATCAATACTATTCAATTCATTCCTACAGGCCTGGGAACCTGGGCTCCCCAAGCCTCGTAAAGAGAAGAAGGTTTGTTTCACACCCACATTCTTCCAGGTAGCTGAATATAAATAAGCTTAAACAAAGGAGATTCTGGCAATTTCTGTTGGCAGGCACCCATCACTGCTACAGGTCTCAGGCATTATTCTGTATCAGGGCATAAGAGTGATTTCAGCCATGAGGAAAACATCTGTGAGGATAAAATGTTTTAGGGTTCAGACTTGTGGCTTGTGGGCCACATCCATGTTTAACATGACCTGCTCAGTGTTCAAAATGTTAAATATCGTCCAATATTTAAAATTTTTTACATAAAAATCTGAATGTCTTGCATTTCTTGAAAAATTATAAAATAACACTGAATTTGCATTTTTGCAAAAATCATTTAGAATCAACTTCCAGCAGAAAACTGGAAAAAAACCCAATAGGATAAGAGATAGATAAATTGTGGTACATTCCTACAATGGATTACTACAGAGCAATAATCAGAACTAACTTCTGATACACTCAAAAACATGAATGGACTTCACATATGTTAAGCAAAAGAAACTAAACACAAAAGTGCACACTGTATGGTCCCACTTATGTGAAGTGTAAGGCCAGTGAAAACCAATCAATGGCAATGGAAATCGGCATAGGTTTATCTCTGGTAGAAGGAGTATGTTTGGAGATGATGAAAATGTTCTGTATTTTTATCTGGGAGGTAGGCATATAGGTGTAAATGTAAAGTGTAGCCACCGATACACTCAGGTTTCAGCACCTTACACACCTCGCTGTATGAATTTCATATGTCAATAAGAAATACAATTCAATGGAAAAGGTATCAATTGGCTAAGGAACAGCTGGCCTTTTAAGGTGAGGCTTGGCCTCTCTGCCTGGAGCCCACACCCAATAGCTGGCTCACATAGATGGCTGCAACAGAATCCATGGTGTGGGGCCCAGCAATCTGTTTCAGCGAGCCCTGCCATTGATTCTGATGCACTATCAAAGCTTGAGAAACTGCTCTAGAGCACTATATCCACAAAATAACATACACAAAAGGCAGAGGCGGCCGTAATGAAGCCCTGTTACCCCTCCCGCCAACATATTTCAAGAAACTTAGGAAGAGAGGCGTTTGTTGGCTTCCTCAAAGAAATCTGTCTATCAAGCCTAAGTTTCAAAACTCTTGGAAGGGATTGTACAACTAACACACACCATTCCTCTTTTAACCATTACACACTTTTGATTTCAGTACTGTTACAATTGGGTCCATATCACTCATTAAAAAAAAGTAAAAGCAAACAGCTGTATATCTTTGATTATGAAAAAATTATCAAACAAAAAGCATTCAGATATATTCCAACTCTGAAAAAATAAATGAAAATCTACATTCAAGGAGTTATTGTGGCTCAGGGAATCTTAAAAATTATGAGAAACTCACGAATTAAGACCAGTAATCCCCATTCTCACTGTTACTTGCATAAACCTTACATAAAACACCACTTGGAGATCTCTATTTTCTGGGAAGTTATCAACTTTTAAGCAAGCGCCCACACAACCACACACTGTGATGTAGTCAAAATGGAAATTCTGTGCCAACAGAGAAGGCATTTTGAATCTGTTGAGGGAATTAGAGGTGCTTACTATATACTTATTCATTGATCAATATTAATTGGAAAAGCATAAAACAATTATATGATATGATAGAAATATTTACTCTGCGTATTTTGAGAAAAAGTTAAGGGATAACTTTTCTTTTTCATAAAGTTAAGTGATTATTTTTTACCAGACTGGTATATAATTTCAGAAAAAAGTTTTTTGTGTGTTCATGCTAATATTTAGGAATCTCCTAGCATTTAGAAGGAGAAAGGGAGAGAGAAAGAGTTCTGGGAATAATAAAGCATAATAATAATAAAACATAATATAATAATCATATTTTCAGGTAGTGATTCTCTGAATTGTTTCATTAAGTACCTCACAGTGGTTGAACAACCAGAGAGATGACGAAAAATCAACTTCAAAATTACTTTGGCTACCTAGTTCACCTCCAATTTGTAAAATGCTTGGTTTGGGAATGAATATAAAAGTCACGTGATCAGGGCTTCATGGGCATGCTCCTCATGCAGTGGACAGGGCTCCATGCTCAGAAAGGGGACTTGGGCTTAGGGTTTGATGCTCTGTGGTTATTGGCTTGAAATACTTAATAATGTTATCATTGAATTTGTTTTATAAGTGATGCACGATGCAACAATGGAACTTGTGCCGGGGACACTGAGAGCCTAGCATCATACATTGTTCCATCTCCTGCCACCTCCCCATGTCTGCTAAGTGAGTTCTTGGTTGCTGGCTCAGGCATTCTGCTTAGTATTTTTGCCCTGCACCCCCAGCAGGGTTCTGGGCATGGGCACAGGTAAGATCAAGGCAAGTTGTAAGGCAATACCCCAGGCACCTGGAAGGCTCTACGCTTGCCATGTGGGTATCCCCATGCCCAAGGAAGCATGACATGAAACAGCAAGTCTCCATGACAGCTTAAGAGAAAAACTGTGGAAGGAAGGAAAAGGGTTTTGTCTTGCTTTTTGAACAAGGGGCCCATATTTTAATTTGGCATAGTCCTCACACATTATGTAGCTACCCTTGCACATGGTTATCAATGGTAAAGAATCAAAAGAGTAAAGAAAGAGAAGTAGGAGGTATAGGATAACCAATAAGGTATGCAGAAAGGAAACGAGGAGGTAATTAAGGTTCAGAAAATAAAATTAAAATTTCATATTGTTACAAAAGGACTAGATATATTCTTCCCAAAAATGCTTTATTTCTCTCTAAGAAGTAACATACATCCTAAAACATTTGGATATATTCAGACACTAAAGATGTGATTGGAAATCTACATTCAAAGAAGTATCACCAATTACCGCCACCCATTCCAATTCTCTCCAGTGCTACCTTCTCAAAGTTGTGAATCAGGCATTACCAACACTTTGAACCTGAGCTTACAATTTAAGAACCACTGTTTTAAAGACATGTAAACAGAATACAGGTTAATAAACAATGAGATCATTATCTTTTCACCTTAGTGTTTGCTACCTCCAATTTTACTAAAGGATACAGCACTTTAGCCTGCCAGGGGATGACGTTGTCTAAACACATTTTCAATGTTTTCTTTTTAACAGTTAATATATTTCCAGGATGAAAGTCCATTTCTTTCTAAAAGGTTCCTAGGACACCCATTGAAAAGTCAAAAGCAATGAAATAAAAGGGATTGCTATTTTGTTGGAAAAGAACGACACCCTTTGTATTGAAGTGGGGAATTACAGACTGTGGTCACCCTCTGCACAGTGTCTCTTTGTCAAGTAATACATGCTGAAAAAAAATAATACAGATGGGAAAATATTGTGCACTGTCAGATCTTGGAAACGGCCAAAGGATTTTTCCTCACCAATGTCTTGTCGATGACTTTCACATTCTGGCACCCTGAAAAAATAATGCATACATTTAATATGAACTGAATGCAATAATAATCAGGCAGGTAATCGTTTTCCCAAGGAATGTAAAATTTGACAAATGTAAGGTTTATGATTCAAGGTAGGCTTGCCAAATCTTATGTGGCATGAGACCATTTTTTATTACCTAAACAGTCCTTAACACAAAATGACTGGCACATATTTTTATTAACACAAAGAGTATATTCTTTCTGCCACATTTAATAGAGAGTCAGTGACTGAAAGCTCTCTTTTAGGATATGTCTGTAGCAAATTAAAATGCATAGTGAGGATTCACAGAATGGCATTCTTCTTGTTGAGGCTCTGTCTGCAGACTGAGTACAGTAGTGAGTAGACCATTTATCTGGGGAGTTTTATCTATGGGAACAATCCAGATGATATGGATTACAGAAAAGGAAGCCCTCTTTACCTTCAAAAATGCGGTAGCTGATAATCAACTCACAGCCATTCTTTCTAGCTACAGGTTCTTTCTGAGTCAAATTAGAAATAGTCACTAGTAGTATTTTAATGTGTATTTATTTATTTATTCTTTCAGCAAATATGTATTGTTTGTGTGCCAGGCACTGCTGTAGACACTGAAAATACTGCAATCAAGACAACAAAGCCCCCTGCCTCATGTATCTTATGTTCTAAAGGGGAAACAGACAATATATAATGCATATAATTTTAAAAGGAAATTCTATGATAGCTGATATATAGGAGACAATAGGTACTATGGAAAAAGGATGAAAGAAAACTGGAAAAGAAAACTGGAGTCGAATAGATGGGTGGAGGATAAACTGCTATTTTAAACACAGTAATCAGGATAGGCACCTTTAAGAAAGTACAATTTATGTGAACACATGAAAGATGAGAAGTTTTTCATGTAGCTGTCTGGAGGAAGAGCATCCAGGCAGAGCGAACAACCATTGCAAATACCCCAAGGCTGAAACATATCTCACATAGTCAAGGGACATCATGGAGGCAAAATGTCACATGGGCAGAATAAGTAAGGGTGACATTGGTAGAAGTTGGGATCAGAAAGATGACGGGAGTCAAACCATATGAGGCCTTGTAAACCACTATAAAGACTCTGGCATTTACTCTGAGTAAACCAAAAGCCACTGGGGGTTTTCTGATCAGAAAAGTAACATGATCTCAATGAATGTTTAAAAGAACCGTTCTGGCCGCCATGATCAGAACAGACTGGGAGAGGGGAGATAGGTGAGAATAGACGTGCCCACCCACAATGTCCATGGGATGAGAGACAATGATGGCTCCAGCCAGGGCGGTGGCAGTGGAGATGACAGGGAGGTCAGATTCTGATTATATTTTGAAGATCGAGCCCCTATGAGTAAGAAGGTGTGAGAGAAAAGAAGAGTCAAGAATGACTGAAGATTTTTGTACTGAGCAACTGAAACTATGGGATTAACATGAACTGATGGAGAAACTGCAGGTGGAGCAGGTTTAACGTGGAAAGTTAGCAGCTTAGTTTTGGACAGGTAAGAGTTTGGGATGCCACTTAGATGTCCAAAGGGAGCTGTTGACTATCCAGGTAGATGTATGTGTTCATGTGTTATGAGATGAGGAAGAATATGATGTTACAACCACCTCCAAGTACTCGTACTCACCAAAATATTCCTAATAAAGCTGTGAAAAACAGAGGTTAAGTAATTACTAGAGACTGCACATGCAGAGTTCCTCAAAGCTGTAAATATGGAGTCAACGTCAAATTTAATGTACTCAAATGATCCCACACTCTTCCCTTTCAAATTCACTTCTCTCCACCAAGGACCTTGACTTAAAGATCATAAAAGAAAAGAAAGTTGTAAACAAGAATGAGTCTTACCACTCAGAGCCATGGCCAACCGGAATTCTTCCTTTAGTATCTCGAGGACATCTTGAACACCTTTCTCCCCCTAACCAAGTGAAAAGATACAGAGTGATTCAGAACTAAATCAGTCTGACTTGTTTTATTCATTTGTTTTACTGTCAAGTTGTCTATTTTATATATTCATTTCTTTGTCCAGTTACCTGGAAAGCTAAGCCCCAAACGATTGGTCTCCCCACAAACACAGCCTTGGCGCCAAGAGCCAGAGCTTTCAGAACATCAGTGCCTTTCCGCACACCCCCGTCCAGGAAGACTTCCACCTTCCCTTCCACAGCCTCCACAATTTCTGGCAGAACATCAATCTGGGGAAAGAAAAGTTCAATAATGTGACTCTATTAACACTGAATTGTTATTCAACTCCACCTCCAAAAACCACTGACACATCCAGCTAGGGCTTAGAGTGAAAGAAGCCAAGTAGGTTTGGGGTAAATGGTAAAATTATTTCCTTCTCAAAGAAGAGAGGTACAAATGCTAGTAACTAAAACACCAACTAAATTTGGAAATGAGCAGCTTATTTTTCTTTTAAAGTGCAAGGTTGTCTTTTTTTCTGTTTCTTATATTCAAAGATTGTCATCAAAAAATTATAAACATAAAACACTTGATCTTTCATAACTTTTTTGTTTTTTTTTGAGAGAGGGTCTTGCTCTGTCCCCCAGGCTGGAGTGCAGTTTTGTGATCTCGGCTCACTGCAACCTCCATCTCCAGAGTTCAAGTGATTCTCCTGCCTCAGTCTCCCAAGTAGCTAGGATTACAGGTGCCCACCACCATGCCTAGCTAATTTTTGTATTTTTAGTAGAGACGGGGTTTCATCATGTTGGCCAGACTGGTCTCGAACTCCTGACCTCAAGTGATCTGCCTGCCTCAGCCTCCCAAAGTGCTGAGATTATAAAATGTATAAAAGTAAATTAAGTATTTTATTGACATAAATTATTCTGAACATTACTCATTGCAAGTCAATTGTTAAAATTCATACTCAGATAATAGTGCAAGCAGTGTGTAAAATGCAAACACAACTAATAATAAAACAACTTAGTCTCTTATTTTCTCATCCAAAATATTTTGCATCCAACCATATATTAAAGAACACTCTGTGAAAACATTTTTCTTGTTTTTAAGGAATATGACCACTTGCAACATAAAGATCTTGGTCTTGATTGGCAGTTGGTGATGATGGACATAGGTTGGCATCAAAGTGCACTTGCCTGCACCTTAGCCTTGGAAACTTTGGCTGATAACATGTGAGCAGAGCTGGTAGAATGCCATTTCTGAGCATAGGCCTTAAGCAACCTCATGTATTCCCACTTACTTTTTTGCACCTTGTCATTTGCCATGAGAAGACCATCCACCAGGTATTGTTTCCCCCTCATCTTTGGCCCCAGGATAAATATTCAGGAAGCAGAGCTAGCACAGCCAAGCCCAGCTGGAGCTGACAATTGGATACCAGCCACCTAGCTAGTACCAAGCCTAGATCAGTAGACACTGGTCAATACAAACTTTCATGGAAATCATTTATTTCAATGATTTAAATCACTGAGTTTGGGATTGTTCATTTTATAATGTCATATGGCAGTAGCTAACTAATACAATTGGCTACTTTGATGTGAATCTGCATTTGAGAATTAAAACAATTTACAAGGTGAGCTAGAGGTCAAAATCTGTAGAAATCACCCACATTCATCCCAAAATGTAAAAATCTAAATTAAGTACAATTCCTATTTAAAATGTATGCTGAGGAAGCTGCCATACACTCAAGTCCACCTTTTCCAGAAATAATTGTGCTGAAATCACTCAGAGGTTATCCCACTTCTACCCTAAAATTTTAGAGGGTTTTATGTATGAGGCTGAAGACTAAACAGGGCTACAGATTGGAAGGAAGTGAAGGTAACACTTGGCATGTGGTCCCTAAATGTTTGGCAGGTAAGGCGATTTTCCTCTTTCCCTTTTAGCTTTTCTGCCTTGCCAAACATGCTTTGGATCTATTTACATATGTCCCTTTTCCTATACATAGCCCTCTTTTTGCATTCAGGCAAGTTACATCAACATATAAATGCTATAATTTCCAAGCCATGATGCAAGCTATAATTAAGCATATTTCCCCATTTGAAACCAGAACCAAAAAAAAATACTATCTAGCTTGGGTTCAATACACATTTTCAAAGTCAGTCAAATCAAGTGTGTTTAGGTAATTTCCAATGCCAACCCTGGCCTAAAAGTAAACTAATAAAGGTACTTAAAAATGTGAATCCTGAGTTAAAAAACAGAGCCCAGATTTGTGTTTCGTGTGTCTGTGAACAACAATGTTCCATCTATTGCTAGGTGTTTCAATCCTCCCTTTTTTCTTTCAATAGCTGCAGTTTTACTAGGTGTATATTACACAAAATAATTCTGATCAAACAGATTAGATAAATAAATACAGTAGACAGACTCACTATGTTATGTCCCTGTTTATGTTTCCCTCTTTTCAGCTTTCTATACATCTGTGAGACCATTCATTTTAGCTATTTCCTTAGTGCTTCTTCGGGCAAGTAATTGTGGGTTTAACTCCACTGGAGTTAATCTCCAGGAAAATATGGTAAGATCCCTGTATACTGTTGCTCATTCATCCCTCTATTCACTGTTTTATCAAACACTTTATAAAGGACCTGGTATATTTAAGGCACTAATGTCAGGCAGAGTAAGGGATGTAGAAAGAAACCCACAGGGATCTGACTCGCAAAGAGAATCCTCTTTCTCATTTGTGTTCAAGTCACACTCTTCCAGAATGCTCCCTGCACAACTTGCTCCCCCAACCCCTCCCCCAAACACAACTTCTGCTAGCAAGGAGCTCTCACCTTTCCATCTTCCTATTGCATCGGTTGTTATACTCTTGATTTTTGACATTTTAGGTATGGAAACCTTTGTTCAAATCAAAATAGTTTAAAATAAACAAAAGTAGATGGAACCAGAGGTGCTTAGTTAAACGCAAAAGAGACAGAGTCCAAGTCACTGCCCATAAATCCTCCCTTGACTGTCTACCCACCCTACCCATCACACTTCACCACGCAGCCCTAAGGGGCTTTTCCTAAGCACACTTAGAAAATCACTGGTTCATATACATTTTGCTGATTGTTTGCAACTGCAAAAATGGCTGCAATGATCTCCTCTTTATCTTCATTTCCTTGCAACATTATGGGAGAAAGGGAAAGGAAGGAGGGTTCTGTTCTGCCACCTTAGATATGAATTGAACTTATGATTTGCTTTCATCAGTGGAATTGAGAGAAGTGACAGGATGCCCATTCTAAGCCTAGATCTCAGGAGGCCTTGCATGCTTCCACTCACTCTCTAGGAGACCTGCCACTTCATGAGAATGCTGGAAGATGTGAGACAATGCAGAGCCATCCCTGCTGAGCTCATCCTATGACAGCCTCCTAGTAGGCCTAGTAGCTGGCCACAGACACATGTGAATGAGTCCAGCCAAGACCAGAAAAACACTGAGCAGATCTCAGCCCAAATTGCCAACCCACAAAATTGTAAAATGTAATAATGACGATTGTGGTTTAGCCAGTAAGTTTCAGAGTGGTTTGTTACACAGCAAAAGCCATCTGATACATTAAATGTTTCTCAAAGATGGAATTGCATGGACTCTTTTTATAGAAGAAAATTTAAATCCCTTTAGCACTTCACAGAACATCCCCAAGAACTTAACAACCCAAATGCTTATTCTATAAAAATGTTTTGCCATTGATAATTTTCACTGTGAAAGAAAGTCATTATTTCTAAGCTTGAGGTAGTTTGTGTCCAGATAGCATCAAAATGAAAATGAAAAATTGAAAAAAAATGCTCATAGGATTCAAATACTCCAGAGAATCTTAATTTGAGAAGATCTAGTGCTATGTATTTTAGAAACCAATTTGATTCCATCCTATTATTCTCTAATTACTTCAAATCCAATCTGGATCACATTATAACCATGAGGTGATAAGCGTATTTTTAACACAATCTTATTTTTTAGTTTTTCTGGGGTGTAGCAGAGGCTGGCAACTCTTCTCAGAAGCAACATATTAAGATGAACTGAAGTTAAATTATTGTTCTAGGACTCCTAGTGACAGTAAGTATTTCTCCACATAAGCAAACTCTGTGATTTATATTAGCCTGGTGCAAAAGTAATTGCAGTCTTTGCCATTAAAAGTAATGGTGAAATTACTTGTGCACCAACCTAATAGAAGTGTATAATTCATATTGTTGTCCACTTTCTTTTTGTAAGCAACACAATACTGTGAAGATGTTTGGGCTTAAAAGTCTCATTGGCTTACTCACCTAGCCCTTATCCCCTGAGAAAGGTGAGACAAGACTCCCATTTCGGTGCTCTTCCCATGACATCATGCTGCCTCCATGGCTCTGACTTATGACATAACAAAATCTGCAGTATAGCAAGTTCTTCTGTGCAAGTACTGAGACCTGGACACCACAGCCTCCCCCAAGACCTTTACCGCTCACAGAAAAACCCACACACTGAGGGAACTTTGTACTTTGCGGTACACCAAATGCTTTCTCACATTTCTCTCATCATCATGAGCCTTAAATTTGCTCTAAAGTGTGAGGCAAAACTCAAGCAAGTATCTCCCCTCATGTATACGACATGCAAAGAGGAGGGTTATGGTTTGTTTTTTTTTGTTTTGTTTTGTTTTTGAGACAGAGTCTTGCTCTTGTTGCCCAGGCTGGAGTACAATGGCACAATCTTGGCTCACTGCAACCTCCATCTCCCGGGTTCAAGTGATTCTCCTGCCTCGGCCTCCCAAGTACCTAGGATTACAGATGCCAACCACCATGCCCGGCTAATTTTTGTGTATTTAGTAGAAGCAGTGTTTCACCATGTTGACCAGACTGGTCTCGAACTCCTGACCTCAGGTGATCTGCCCGTCTTGGCCTCCCAAAGTGCTGGGATTATAGGCATGAGCCACTGTACCCAGCTGGTTATTGTCTTTTGTTTGTTTTTTAATTTTAAATTTTTATTTTATTTTCCATAAGTTATTGGGGTACAGGTGGTATTTGGTTATATGAGTAAGTTCTTAAGTAGTAATTTTTGAGATTTTGGTGCACCCATCACCTAAGCAGTATACACTGCACCATATTTGTTGTCTTTTATCCCTTGCCACCCCCTATTCTTTCCCCCAAGTCCCCAATGTCCATTGTATCATTCTTATGCCTTTGCAACCTCATAGCTTAGCTCCCACATATCAGTGAGAACATACGATGTTTGGTTTTCCATTCCTGAGTTACTTCACTTAGAATAATAGTGTTCAATCTCATCCAGGTCACTGCAAATGCTGTTAATTCATTCCTTTTTATGGCTGAGTAATATTCCATCATATATATGTACCACGGTTTCTTTGTCCACTCATTGATTGATGGGCTTTTGGGTTGGTTCCACGACTTTGTAATCGTGAACTGTGCTTCTATAAATATGTGTGTGCAAGTATCTTTTTCGAATAATGACTTATTTTCCTCTGGGTAGATAGCCAGTAGTGGGACTGCTGGATCAAATGGTAGTTCTACTTTCAGTTCTTTAAGGAATCTCCACACTGTTTTCCATAGTGGCTGTACTAGTTTACATTCCTACCTGCAGTGTAGAAATGTTCCCTGATCACTGCATCCACACCATCTACTGTTTTTTGATTCTTGGATTATGGCCATTCTTTCAGGAGTAAGGTGGTATCACATTGTGGTTTTGATTTGCATTTCCCTGATCATTAGTGATGTTGAGCATTTTTTCATATGTTTGTTGGCCATTTGTATATCTTCTTTTGAGAATTGTCTATTCATGTCTTTAGTACACTTTTTGATCAGATTGTTTGTTTTTTTTCTTATTTGTATGAGTTCGTTGTAGATTCTGGATATTTGTTTTTCATCAGATGTATAGATTGTGAAGATTTTCTCCCATTCCATGGATTGTCTATTTACTCTGCTGACTTCATTTTGCTGTGCAAAAAGCTCTTTAGTTTAATTAACTCCCAGCTATTTCTCTTTGTTTCTATTGCATTTGCTTTTGGATTCTTGGTCATGAAATCATTCCCTAAACCAATGTCTAAAAGGGTTTTTTCAATGTTATCTTACAGAATTTTTATAGCTTCAAGTCTTAGGTTCGGTTATTGTTTTTTAAAAAACGGTCTCAGGGAACAAACTCAAAAGCCCTTCTAGACGTGTCCATATTCTCTCAGCGAGAGGGAAATAAGCAACACCATTTGGCTATTTTTCCCTTAAAATCTAGTTAGATTTGATTTCAGTAGATTTATATTTAATTTTTAGAAAACAATTTGGCCCGCCCACTAAGTCTACATCTCCATACACAAGTGAGTCATGAATCTGAGAAAAAGCTTTGTGCTGTGACCAACCTCTCCACCCTACTCAGAGGAGGTCTTCACTTTCCACGTCTGTTTACCTGCAACCAACATTTAATATCACCTAGAACAGTGTGTCTCTGGGAGCAAAACTGAGTTGCAAAGAGCTGACAACTTCCAGTTTTCATTACTTTTCATCTTTTGTTTGTTTGTTTTGTTTTTTGAGACAGAGTCTCACTCTGTTGCCCAGACTTGAGTGCAGGGGCATGGATCTCGGCTCACTGCAACCTCCAACCCCCTGGTTCAAGCAATTCTCCTGCCTCAGCCTCCCAAGTAGCTGGGATTACAGGAGTGCACCACCATGCCCAGCTAATTTTTGCATTTTTAGTAGAGACGGGGTTTCACACATCGGCCAGGCTGCTCTCGAAATCCTGGCCTCAAGTGATCCACTTGCCTTGGCCTCTGAAAGTGCTGGGATTACAGGCGTGAGCCACCACTTGACTGTATAATCCTACAATATACAAAGACTTACTTGGTTCCTACCATTAGTGCTTTAGGAAAAACTCAACGCAATATGCACACCCAATATTCCCTGCCATCATTTACTCCGCCATCACAGCCACACAATTGGTCTATGAATGTCACTAAATCAACCTGCTAGTTCAGTGAAACAACAGACCACTACTAGTTGGCTAAAGTATTTGTTCTACTCTTTTTCCAGTTGTGTGGATAAATTCAAATGGTCATCCCAATTCCAACCATCTATATAATAACTACCACTGAAGGGTTCCGATAAAAGGGAAAATATTTATATAAGAATCCAGTTCTGAGAGAGGTGGTGGTCTGGAAAGTTCACCCACATTACTTAGTAGATAGATAGATAGGTAGATAGATAGTAAATATATATATATGACAAATATATATATTACTTAGTAAATATGCATAGATATATAAAGTTTTGTTATATGATGCTAGTTACTTTGCCTGTGTAAATCACATTATGAAATATTACAGTTGAAAGGTTTAAATTTTAAAAGATGAAGAAACCAAGATAGGGAGCAGAAAGCAATTCCCTCTGTCCTTCTGCAGTTCAGGCCCTCCTTCTCTCTTTTCTTGGCTATGGTAATTTTAAAGACTACCTCATTGGCCTTTCTGCCTCTTGTCATGACAAAATCCAC
Organism: Homo sapiens; assembly: GCF_000001405.40. Taxonomy (NCBI): domain Eukaryota; kingdom Metazoa; phylum Chordata; class Mammalia; order Primates; family Hominidae; genus Homo; species Homo sapiens. The sequence goes on from NC_000020.11 coordinate 7,893,058, forward strand.
TTTATGAGACTCATTGCTGCTAAGCCAAGGCTCTTCTATTGCACACCCAATGACTCATAATAGTCAAGGATCTCCTTCCTTATCTATCCAGGCAGATGCATTTCCCAAAACTCTCCCACTCCCACTGAAACCGCCTTTGCAAAAATTATAACTGAGAAAAATATGTCAGTGAAAGAGATCTCGCCTAACTGACTCCATCTTGATTCTAACGGCCAAGCTTTCCTTGTTCATTGCTGAGTGTAGGCCAGACTAACTTTGGGAGAAACTTAGTTCATACTTCAATTTTGAAACAAAGATGATAACAGCTCTTTACCAAAGCAAAACCCCATTCCTGCCTGGGGACTAGGCTGCCTTTGCAGGACTAACAAATTAGTCACAAGATTAGAAATTATGGTTTAGGAGTCATGCAGCTGTAGGCTACAAGATTCTGAACCTCCCCAAATTGCTCCTGGGGATAACGTCACCATTGTAAAACCGAAAAGCAATGCTTGAGATGTTTTGCAGACCCTGTACCTGGATCAGTTGGCACCACTGTCTGATAAACTGGTTCATCTGGTATTGTGGCCTTCAACCAGGAACTGACTCAGAGCAAGAGGACAATTCGACTCTCTATGATTTTTATCTCCCACCTGACCAATCAGCACTCGCCACTTTCCAACCCCTTCCCCACCAAATTATCCTTAAAAACCCTAAAACCCAGTTTTTCAGAGAGACTGATTTTAGTAATAATAAAACTCCAATCTCCCAGTACAGCTGGCTCTGCGTGAATTAAACTCTTCCTCTATTGCAATTCCCCGTCTTGATAAATTGGCTCTGTCTATACAGTGGACAAGGAGAAACGGTTGGGCAGTTACAGCATCAGACACTGCAAACAAGATGGATTATTTAGTATTCCCTGAGCACATCTCACTCTTTCCCATTTTACTCTTAGGCTTATCACACTGCAAAGAGGGTCCACATGGGGCCAGAGCAGAAGCAAAAAATATCTGCAACATCATTGCTCCATCTACAAGAGGCTTGGCCAAATCCCCACAAGTGGACAGCACATAAGGGAACCACTTGATAGCACCCCACCAACGGCCCCCGGCCCCCATTCTGGATCATGGATCCATAAAATCCACCCCAGGAAATGTGTCCCTCTCCATGGCTTCGGATCCATTTCTGGACCCCCAGTCTCTGATCTTAAAATCTGCCCTAAGTGCCTCTGTCGGTTTTCTTGGCTTTAGGATCTTCAGGGTCTAATTGCTCTTCGATACAGTTGTATTCAGTCCCACACCTTTCAGGACAGTTTAGTTCACTTTTACATCTAGATTTTGGACTCTGATTTGCCTACTCCAGTGCATAAAAACCAAAGATGCACATTGGAATCTCCTGATAGCTTTAAAAAAATACTAGTGCCTATACACCCCTAAGCCCCAACCAGAGATTCTGATAAATAGACCTGGGGAGCAGATCAGGATTCTTTAAAGTTCCCCAGATGATTCCAATGTGCAGCCAAGGTGGTTCACAACTCAGCCAGAGTAGCCTATTTGCAGCTCACTTCCCGTTGCCCGGACCTAAGCCTTTTTTCTCCTTTTCCCAACTCTCCACCATTTCTCTGCAGCTTTTCAACCGCCACCCCACAGGAAATTCTGATTATGTCCCTCCTCCTGATTTCTTGTCTCAATTGTACTGATGATCTCAGATTCTACCACAGCCTTTGAAATCCCACAATTCTCTGTTAGCTCATGTCCTTGGACATTCATGGCATAATCCTTTCTTTCATACTCCAGTTTACATACCTATTGGTGTATCTATGAATGCCAGAATAATCCTTGCCCACAAATGACTTATTATTTAACAGAGACTTTCATAGGTTACAAATAAATGCACTGGGCTAATTAAACATAAATAAATTTTTAACTTGGGTAGTTATGTGCCACTAAACTTAAAATCCAAGATCTCACATATTTGCACGTATTTCACCTTGAGTGATTACACAAAGTACACACAGAGAGGAGGAAGACATAGAGATAGTAACACAGTGATGGAAATGGGAACTCCAAAAGGAAATCTTAGCGTCTGCCAAAACTCACAGTGGCTGGCACCCCATCGAGTTGTCGAGCCCCATGATTCGACACCAAGATCCCATTCAAGCCATGTTTAACAGCCTCCCTGGCATCATCACCTGGAGAGAGTAAAACAAGCACCTTAGGGAAACTGTAACTTAACAGGCAGCTTGGGTTTAGAGGCCTCCACATTCCAGTCAAATGGAGGCTGACTCCCATCTGCATACCTGGGTCAATAATCTTAGCATAAAAGTATACCCTAGGGTTAGCGCTAGAATATTAGTGGTAGTTTTCTTGGCCAAAAACAACAAAAAAATGTTACTACTTACGGCAATTTAATTGTAAAATATACAAAAGTATCAATAGATAATACATTGACATAAAGCGTGTTTATCTTTATAAGGGTATACTCTTGCTAAATATTTTCAATTAATAAGATTATACCATTTTATCATTTAGCAAAATTATTCCTCAACAATTTGGATAGCCAAAAAAAAAAAAAACATAAAAATGTCAAGCACTGTAAATGTAACAGGCAGTGGACAAACCTATTTCAAAAAACAATCTTTAATAACAAGTTGTAATAGCTTTAGTAACTATTTTAAGTAATATTGTTCTATAATTAAATATATGTTTGCTCATTGAAATGTATAAAAAATTGGCCAGGTGCAGTGGCTCATGCCTGTAATCACAGCACTTTGGGAGGCCAAGGCGGGCAGATCACGAGGTCAGGAGTTCAAGACTAGCCTGACCAACATGGTGAAACCCCATCTCTACTAAAAATACAAAAAAACAAAAACAAAAACAAAATTAACCAGGCCTCAGGCCTATTGGCAGGTGCCTGTAGTCCCAGCTACTCAGGAGGCTGAGGCAGGAGAATCGTTTGAACCTGGGAGGCAGAAGTTGCAGTGAGCCAAGATTGCACCACTGCACTCCAGCCTGGGTGACAGAGTGAAACTCCGTCTCAAAAAAAAAAAAATTAAAATTCTATGCTACATCTCTAATCATGTTTTAAAATATATTAATTTCTGAAAGTTCAGTTTAAAAATAGATTACTGTTCTCTTAAATCTACTTGCAACATTTAAAAACATATTTTATATTCTAAACTATTATTTTTAGCATGTCCTAATAACAAACCATTTGCTAAAAGAATCATGAAAACAACACTGGTTCTCAGGTTTAACATTCAAAATGCAATACTAAGCAAAACCAACTGGTTCAAGAGCGTAGCAAAAATCAGGCCTTGGAAATTTAAGCAAATGGGTATAGGTCATTGGTAATCTGTAAAATTAAGCAATGGAGATAATGGGCAGACTTGACTAAGAATAATTTTAAAAGACAAGATAATTATTTTATAAATTATATGCTATCATTTTCCAAACTTTGTTTTATACAAGGCTATTTTTCAACTATTCTTATTTTTTTCAAATGATGATAGTGATATTTTTCTCCTAAAATTATAGGTATAGGAAACTGTTAAACCTATATGCTATAGACTAAATATTTATATCCTCTCAAAATTTGTATTTTGAAGCTCTGATCCCCAATGTGATGGCATTTGGAGATGGGGTCTTTGGGAGGTGATTAGGATTAGATTAGATTTCTAACTGCCTTTCTTTTCTTTTCTTTTTTCCATTTACTGTGAAACTTCAGAATATTATCCAGTTCTTCAAACTTTTCAATTATTTGATCTAACCTATTAGGTCACCTTATTCCCCACCTGAAGATAACCCCTGGAGCCCTCTGCCTTCCTGTTCCATTCTGTTGTGGCTACTCACAAGACATAATGTCTGCCTTCAGCTTTGAGTTTGCTCTTCTTCTGTCTGAGTTGAATATCTTGTAGTCTGAGTATGCCCTCATTTGGTTTATATTCTCATTTGTTTGTAGTAGATTCCTTTGTTACTTTCTTAAAAAGGATCCAAGGGAGGTAAACTTACAGACCACCTAAATAGCTTCTCTTGTGTGTGAATGACAATTGGATTGGGTATAATAATCTAAGTGGAAAAACCATTTTCCTCAGAACCTTAAAGACATCAGTCCATTGTCTTCTAGTACCCATTGCTGATGCAAGGACTGACACCAGTTTGATTTGAATTATTTTATAAGTAAACAGTTTTATGTTTATTTTATCTCTTTATACACATTACTTTTCTGAAATTTCATAAGGAACGTGATAAGTTGTGATTTGTTTTCTCACTCTAATGACTTACATTATCAGCATTCGGAAATTGTTGGTCTTTAATAATTTCCTCCAGGCCTCTTTCTTTTACTTTTCTACCTGAAACTCCTATCAGTTGGATATTGGACATTTTAAAGTTGTCTTCATGTACATTCATGTAATAATTTTTTCTTTCTATTTATCTTATTGTTCTCATTGTTGTTTTACCCTTTGGGAAATGTTATTGACTTTACTGCTCAGCCATTCAGTCATTTCAGCAATCATGTTTTTAATCTTTGAGAGCTCTTTTTTATATTCGACTTCCCCTTTTTTAAAAAAATCAGAAGTCATTTTTCTAATCATTGGGAACTCTTCTTTATGCTCTAATTTTCTTTTCATGGCAGACTCTTCCTATTTATATGTATATTTTCAACTTTTTTGAGTATCATTTGGATTTTTTAAAATTCTTTTTCTTGTTTTATCTCTTTTTCCTGGGATAAGCTTTTCTATAGATTCATCTTGATTTGTTATGTTTTGGTGTTTCTGATATGCCTAGTGATGCTAAATTTTCCATTTATATTTAAGGAAGAAAGATTGAGGAACTGCCCTGTTTTGTAAATTAGTTTCATTCTTGCCAAGTCCTTGTCTGGAGTGGAAATTCTTTCTTGGAACTCCATGTAAGAAAATGCAGGAAATGTCAACTAAGAGGCAATTAGACTGTGAGCTCCTCAAGTGTCAGAATCAGGACAGCATCATGTCATATTGGAAATGCCACCCACCCATATTTCATCCCAGCCATTCATTAATGTCTTTAGAAAGGATCAGCTACTTTCTTATTGAGAAGTCAGTGCCAAGTGTCCACTGTTGCATAAGAAGTAGGGTGGGAGCAGGATTGCTGGCAGGCATAACAGCTTCCTATATTGATCTTCAGTCAGTCCCCTTGCGTTTCGTCTTCACTACCCTCTCTGCCATCCTTGCAGACTATATACCTACAGCCTCTCAAGCATTCTATTACATAATCTACCCCTACCTCCTCTAGGATTTCCTGAAAGCCTATCTCAAGGTACAGTTTTCTGTATGTTTTCCTGCTGTCAACAGGCTTTCAAAAGTTTCTTAAAATTTCTCTGCTGTTTCTGTCCTCTATCCTCCTTTGCTTTGCTGTCATTGGTGTATACATATTTGCATTTCTGTACTTTAATTTCAGTGGAGTCTTGACTTTAACAAGAGAATTCATATGTACTCAGTCCATCATTTTAAACCAGAAGCCCAGTACACTTTCATCTCAAACGTATTTCATAAATGGTTCTCTAAAGATAGGGCCTCAATGGACTACCATAGAACTTTCTGTGATAATAAAAATGTTCTAGATCTGTGCACTTCCATCATACAGTACCACTAGTCATGTAGCCACTGACCAACTGATATGTGGCAGTGTGACTAAGAAACTGGAATTTTGCCTCTATTTCATTTTAATTAACTTATATAGCTGTCATATTGCACAGCTCACCTTCAATGTTTCCATGAGCTTACCTGTCCTAATAGACATAGCATGGTATTTATTTTAAAAACCTAGGTGTAGTCATAAATAACCTTATTAAACAGTATAAAATAATATTCTGAATTGGTGTGGTTTGCCTGGTTATCTAGTTATGTACAGGATCCTGAACTTCAAGTCAAATGTAAAAAAAAAAAAACAAAAAACCACTTAAACATAGACAATGGTATTTTTTCAAACCTCGTAATTGAGCATACGTATAGCTCTCCAGTTTATATTCCTGTGTCTGCCACCATGTAGCTACAACCTGCATTATGAGAAATTAAATATTATCAATAAACAGATCCTGTACAGGAGGAAGAAGTGATTCACTGCTTAAGGTAAGTCATCAGTCCACCCGGACTTAAATCCCACATCTGCTGCTCGCTTGCTGTGTAAGTGGCAAGTTTCTTAACTTCTCGGTGCATCATTGTCCTAAGCCATAAAATGAGGATAGAGATCCACATATGATTAGCTTGTGGATTAAATGAGTTGAATGTGTGTTTAGAAAGTGCCTGATACATGTTGAACACTCAGATAAATATTAACTATTATTACCATTTTCCTCTGATGGTGCAGGGAATATAAACTAAAAAGATGAGTAGGTGGAGAAAGATTTATTTGCAGGATGCGTTTGGCAACTCTATTTGGGTTCTGTTTATAACAGTTTTATCCTAGTCAAGATTACTATGATAAAGTGCCTCCCATTTGAATTAAATGTTTCTTAAGTAACAGTCTGTTATCTGCCATCATTTCAAGTGGTTTTTATATTCTTCAGGTAGTATTGGGAATATAGGGAGAAATGACATAATGATTTGCTCAGAGGATAGGATTGTGAATTTCTAGAGAAGCAAAGACAATAAGGATAATTTATAACCAGATATAAGCCCCTTTTATTAGCTGCTTATGCAGCCTCGTCCACAGTTTTACAATTTATTTTAACACAGAGAGAAAAGCAATTTTGCCTTAATGAAAGGGCCAAAATATTCCCACTTAGCAAAATGTTCATGAATCTTGGATATTTTTATTAATTCTTAGAGTTTAAGAGTGTGGCATTCCATATTTGTGAATTTGCCATTAAGTACATTGATTGATAGACACAGTCGTCAATGGGCAGTGGCATTGTTTGCTATCTTATTAATATTTTATTTCCATATTTAATTTAAAACAAGGTATAAAAGTGAAAAATAAGTACTCAAGTACTCAAAACGTAAGTACTCAAGATTTGAGCTCAAGCCCTTGGAGCTTTTGGCCTAGGAATCTGTTCTGACTCAGAGGAGAGTAGTAACTAAATCCCGGACACATGACAGCAATTTTAAAACACAATCCAGGAACATTAAGCGCATATTTTTTTAGAGTATCTTGAACAATGTATACAGGCATACCTTGTTTTATTGCACTTTGCTTTATAGCAATTTGCAGCTACTGAGTTTTTTAGAAATTGGAAATCACCACCTTGATCTGTTAGCAGCCATCAACATCTAGGAAAGACCCTCCACCAGCAAGAAGACTACAACTCGCTGAAGACTCAGATAATCATTAGCATTTTTTAGCAGCAAGGTATTTTTAATTAAGGTATGTACAATGCTCAAGTGGCATTGTGGCAACCCCGCATCAAGCAAGTGTATCAGCACTATTTTTCTAACAGCACGTGCTCAATTGGTATCCCTGTGTCACAGTTTGGTCATTCTCACTCTATTTCAAACTTTTTCATTGTTACATCTGTTACGGTGATCTGTGATTAGTGATCTTTGATGTTACTATTGTAATTGTTTTGGGGTGCCATGAACCATCGCCTTTAAAATGAGGAACTTAATAAGTGTGTGTATTCTGACTGCTCCACTCACTGGCCATTCGCCCATCTCTCTCCCTCTCCTCAGGCCTCCCTATTCCCTGAGAAGCAACAATATTGAAATCAGACCAACTAATAACTCTACAATGGCTTCTAAGCGCTCAAGGAAGAGTCACATACCTCTCACTTTAAATTAAAAACCAGAAATTATTAAGCTTAGTGAGGAAGGCATGTGAAAGGCCAAGACAGGACAAAAGCTAGGCTCCTTGTGCCAAACAGCTAAGTTGTGAATGCAAACAAAAAGTTCTTAAAGGAAATTAAAGCTACTACTCTAGTGAACACAGAAATGATAAGAGAGCAAAGCAGCCTTATTGCTGATAGGGAGAAAGTTTGAGTGGTCTGGATAGATGATCAAACCAGCCACCATTCTCCCTTAAACCAAAGCCTAATCTAGAGCAACACCCTAACTCTCTTCAATTCTATAAAGGCTGAGAGAGGTGAGGAAGCTGCAGAAAAAAAGTTTGAAGTTAGCAGAGGTTGATTCCTGAGGTTTAAAGGAAGGAGCCATCTCTATAACATAAAAGTGCAAGATGAAGCAGCTGAGGGCTGATGGAAAAGCTGCAGCAAGTTATCCAGGAGATCTAGCTAAGAAAATTGATGGAGGTGGCTACACTGAACAACATATTTTCAATGTAGATTAAACAGGCTGTATGGCATCTTCTTCCAAACAAGCCTTCCTCATACTGGAAGAAGATGCCATCTAGGACTTTCATAGCTAGAGAGGAGAAGTCTATTCATGGCTGCAAATATAACCCTAGGAATTATACCAAATCTACTCTGCCTGTGCTCTATAAATAAAACAACAGTCCGAATGGCAGCACATCTGTTTACAACACGGTTTACTAAATATGTTAAGCCCACTGTCGAGACCTGCTGCTCAGAAAAAAAAAGATTTCTTTCAAAATATCACTGCTCATTGACAGTGCACCTAGTGACTCAAGAGCTCTGGTGGAAGAACACAAAAAGATTAATGTTTTTATGCCTGTTAACACAACCTCCACTCCATAGCCCATGGATCAAGGAGTAATTTTGACTTTCAAGTCTTATTAGTTAAGAAATATATTTAATAACATTATAGCTGCTATAGTTAATGATTTCTCTGATGAATAAGAGCAAAATAAATTGAAAACTTTCTGGAAAGGATTCACCATCTAGATGCCATTAAGAACATTTGTGATTTACAGGAGGAGGTCAAAATATCAGCATTAACAGGAATTTGGAAGATGTTGATTCCAACCCTCATGGATGACTTTGAGGAGTTGAAGACTATGGTGGAGAAAGTCACTGCTGCTGTGGCAGAAACAGTAAGATAACCGAATTAGATGTGGAGCCTGAAGCTGTGACTAAATTGCTGCAATCATGAGATAAAACTTAAATGAATGAAGAGTTTCTTCTTATGATGAGCAAAGAAAGTGGTTTCTTGGGATGGAATCAACTCCTGGTGAAGATGCTGTGAACATTGCTGAAATAACAACAAAGGATTTAGAATATTACACAAACTTCACAGATAAAGCAGTGGCAGTTTGAGAGGACTGACTCCAATGTTGAAAAAGTTGTACTGTGGGTAAAATGCTATCAAATAGCTTCTCATGGTACAGAGAAATCTTTCCTGAAAGGAAAAGTTAATCGATGCATCAAACTTCATTGTCTTATTTTAAGAAGTTACCACAGCCACCTTAAACCTTCAGCAACCACTACCCTGATCAGTCAGCAACCATCAACACCTAGGAAAGACCCTCCACCAGCAAAAAGACTACAACTCGCTGAAGACTCAGGTGATCATTAGCATTTTTTAGGAGTAACGTATTTTTTAATTAAGGTATATACATTGTTTTTTAGGCATAATGCTGTTGCACAAAATAGACTACAGTATAGCAAAAACATAACTTTCATATGCACTGGGAAGACAAAAAAATTATGTGACTTGCTTTATTGTGGTGGTCCAGAACTGAATCCACAATGTCTCTTAGGTATGCCTGTATATGAAGAGCTGACTAGAGAAAAGTTTCTCAGAAACACAAAGCCACAGTAGAAGTGAGACAGCCTAATTTAAATAAATTAAAAGAAAAAGAAAAGAACTCTAAAAGGCACCATGCCTTTGCTGAAAAAAGCCATTTGTTTGCTAGTGTGAGTTCTGACAAAGACCAAATTCTGTCTTAAGTACATGTTAGGAGCTTGCGTTGAAGTTCTCTAAGGGCAGTTTAACCACACACAGTAAGAGATTACATCTTCCATTCTAATTTGCATTCATTAAAATACAATTATTAAAATGGTGAGACAGTCAGATGTTTGGTCTAGATCTTCACAGTTGCTCATGATTTCATGTTCCTGAAAATATAATCTGCACTTTTCTGAAAAAGGAAAATGAAAGAGGATGGGTGACTCTCAGTCAATCCATGTGATTTCTGCATGAGGACCTGTGAAATGGAGAAAATTGGATTTCCCAGAACTGGCCCTGCCACTGCTCCCTTCCGATCCAGATTGAGCATATGTGTTACTTGGTGCAATTGTTGTCATAGAGATGATTCTTGTTTGTTAAATAAAAGAACCAAATAGTTACAGAAAAGTAGACGATGTAAACTGTACATGTATAAATAAGTTATTTCCCTTTAAATGTCAAATGTCCCATCTCTCCTTATCTTTTTTTTTTTTTTTGAGCTTTCTCTAATTAGATAGACTTATAGTTTTCATCAAGAAGTTCAGTAAATAAATATTTGGGCTATCTACTATGTGTAAAATGTCACAAAAATATTTAGAAACAAACCAGAAATCCATATGGATGAGAAGAAAAGAGAGGTGGTGATGATGGTGGTAGTGGTGGTCATGGTGGTCATGGTGGTGATAGGAGTGGTGGAGGTGGTAGTGGTGATACTGGTGGTGGTGGTGGAGGTGGTGGTGGTTGTCTTGGTAATGGTGGTGTTGATGGTGGTTGTGGTTATGGCGCTGGTGGTGGTGGTGGTCATAGTGGTGATGGGAGTGGTGATGGTGGTGGTGATGATAGCAGTGGTGGTGGTGGCAGTGGTGGTGGTTGTTCCTGGTAATGGTGGTGTTGATGGAGGTTGTGGCTATGGTGGTAGTTGTGGTGGTGGTGGTGGTCATGGTGGTAATGGGAGTGGTGATAATGGTGATGGGAGTGGTGATGGTGATAGCAGTGGTGGTGGGTGGCAGCAGTGCTGGTGGTTGTCCTGGTAATGGAGATTGTGGTAGCGGTGGTGGTGGTGGTGGTGGTGGTGGTGGTGGTGGTGGTGGTGGCAGTGGTCCTAGCTAAAGTGATAACAGAATGAAGATCTAGAAACCAAAATATTTTTCAACATAACATGTGATAGTAAATCTAATTCAATTGATTTGCACATATCTTAAGGAATAAAGTTGTAGAAAATGATATACACTGGAAATCCTAGATTGAAAAGGTGGTTAAAAAATAAAATGACCTCCTTCTTTGTTCCTTATTTGAAACAATTATGGAACAAGACTAAAATTCTATTCTTCCTTAGTGTTTTAAAGCCAGATCCCCTGGGCCGTCTCTGTGATTAACTGTCTTAATTTTCTAATTTAATTATACCTTCTCAGTCCCCTCCCTGCCATTACTCTAGGTCATCTCTACAATTATCTCTTTTCTGGGCAACAACATTTCCTAAATGTCTTCCCTGACCACAATTTTGCCACCTCCATCCATTAGGTCCGTTGTGCAAAGCATGATTTCTGTAAAATGCTTATATGATGAGGTTGCTTCTCTGATCAAGACACTTCAGTGGTTCTCAGCCACTTTAAAGTCTAAATTCTCTAAATGGCTTATGTGTTTTATAAATTGTTATGCATAATTGCTTTATTCTGCCAGTACTTCAGTCTGAAGTAGAGTCTATTGGCTTGATATCATGGCAAAACTCAAGCATCATCTTTCATTCTGAAAAGTGTTTTCTAACCCACTCTTACATTATTGCCCATATTCTTTTTTAAGCCATGCCCATAGATTTCTATGCAACATTTTATTGCACCCAAAATGCTTGTTTATATAACTGTCTCCTACAAGAATAGACTGTCATTTTATCCAAGGATCTAAAATTATTTTATTTCATAAAAATATTTTAGCACACAGTAGTTATGATATTTATGGAATGAATGAGTGAGTGAATAAGAGAATGGATGAATGAATAAATAAATGAATGGCACAGAACCTTCAGGTTAATATTATTTAGTCCCCACAGTTGAATGCAGCCACAGTAAGTAGCACTAGTAATCATGGATAACAACATGGATGCAAGTAAAGGAAGTGAAACCATTATTTAAAGGTGTCTGTAAACCAAACCAATACATATTCATTGAAGTATAATCCACAAAAATTTTGAACTAGGACAATGATTAGTAGGAAACAGTGAACAATTTTTGTAGAAGTACAGAATAATGTTTGAGATGACGGATATGCTAATTACCCTCATATGATTACTACACATTGTAGGTATTGAAACATCACTATATGCTCTATGCATATGTACAACTATTATATATCGATTTAAAAAACTAATTTAATTTGTTTAAGCACAGAATAAGAACATCTGGATTTAAACATATCTCCACTACTTAAATGCTGCACTGGGCTTAATTTCTTTTACTTTTATAAGCTCATTTCTTCACACATAAAATTAAATAGTCAAAGTAGGTAGACCTTTATAAATAGGGACCACATGACTCAGACATGTTCAAGTAAAATCTATGAAAAAGTTTTGATTCAAAGTCATTTAATAGACATACATTAATGGACAGACTCTCATCTTAAAGTCACTTACTCAAACATTTCAGTTAAAAAAAAGTTTTTGGCAGTTATCTATATAACCAAAGGTTATATACCACAAAGGTTTTCTTGCCTTTGTGGGTAAACACATTTACACTCCAAAATTATTATAGTCATTGGTATCTCCCTGTGGGATCTGAATACATGGGGATGCTGGAGGAAATAGTTAAGTTTCTTATTACCCATGGCTTGATAATTGAGCATTTGACCATACTAGTCAGCCATTCTCTTCAGAGAGGTGATGTGGGTTTGACCACACTCAAAAACTAGTCCTAGCCATTTGTACTGGAGGGAGCACAAGAAAAAGAGTAAAAGCTCTTAAAACAAGTCTGTCTGTCATAATATCTCCTTGGGGCTTCTCTTTGGTCTGAGAGCAACTGTTGCAGCTTTCAGGTAAAGCAATGAACTCATGACGTTCTACCAAGATCTTGCCAGGCTTCATGATTCAGTAACAGCTCTGAAATAAGGCAATAGCATCCCAATTCTTTGAAAAAGCTCACTTTGTGCTTCATGAGAGTTTAGCTCTGCTTCAGAATATTACCTAAGAATGAAGAAATATTTACTCACTAACATGAAAACAGAGAATTGAGAGTTGGAATGTCTCTCTCAATTTCCATGTTAATTTTTCCTTGTTATTTTCCTTTAAGAATATTATGAACGTATCCACAAAGGATCACAAAGTCAGTATGAATTCAAGTAGAGAAATAAACGAACCTCTCAAAATGCCCTTTGCAACAATTGGCAATGATGTCAGTCTTCTCAGCCATTTGATATCTTCCCAGCTGATAGATGGGTCTATTGCTTTAGCCACATATGCAGCAAGTCCACTGTCGTCTCCAAAATTTTCCTCAGGAGAAAATGATAAAGTACTGGTTTCAAAATTTTTCATCCTAAAATAAGAAATGCATAAAATGAGAAATTTGCCAAATTAGAAATACGTTTCCAATGATTCATTCAATGAAAAATGTTACCCTTTTCAAATCAATTGGCTGTTCACTGCTCATTTATCTATAAGTCAATTGCACACATATTTTCCATATTTTGATGTAGGACTCTAGACTAAATGTGATACTCTAGTGGTCTTAATCAGTGACCTAAATTTTATTTTACATCTTAGGCTGTGTTTACACAAACAAATCTGTTTCAAGAAAAAAAAATGTGTTCATATTCAAACATCTCATTTTTAAGCCAGTTTATGGATATAGACAATAGAGTTGACACGATTTTCAGCCAGCAATGCAAATTAATCACAATTTAAAAAGCATTTTTATGGTGCATTATAATTTACAAAGGGTTTTGTATGCCAAAATTATCACAATTTTTCTTTAAAAGACTCTTAGAAAGTAACATTGATACTCTATGATTCCCATAGAAAATAAAAACAGAGGTACAAAATGAATTGCCTCAAATATAGAACTAGCTAATAGCAGTATTTGAGCTCCAAACTGGGTCCCTTGACTTCATTCCTAACACTATTCTCTTTGCTCAGATCTCAGTTTCCTCCTGGTTATTGCACCTGACCTCAGGAAACCTTCCAATGCCCTTGTAGAAAATTCTAGAAGAGGTTGGAACCGCAGTAACAGGTGTTAACATGACTGTCTGTTGCCCCTGTAGACTCCTTCTTGCCTGCTATTGCAGTAGTGATGGTGGTGGTGGGCATGGGAGAAGTGGGAACTGTTTCCCAGCAGATGAGTTGTCACCTCTTGCCTTTCCCTCCCCCTTTTAGTTGTTCTCTCTGAACTTCTCGGTCTGCTGACTCAAACTTCTCTAATCTTCCAGACAAGTTTGACAACGACAAGAGCTTTTCAATTATCAATACCTTCATTTCTCTGCCAGTGGTTTTTTCTTGCTCCTGGGCCTGAGTCACAATCCACACAGCAGACTGGAGGCATTAGGGATGTTGAAGTGTAAATACCCCAGCTCCCTCACCGCTAGGTAGACTAACTCTGAGATAAATTCTGCCTAAGTTCCCAGAATTTTCCAGCAGGGTTAAGCTTCAGTTGCCCCGACTGTAGCTGTCTTGGTATTATGCCCTTTGTTCAATGCCTTCCCTCCTTTGCCTCACTTTCCTACTCCTCTAGCAGTATTCCCTTCACCTTCCCTATTAACTACTTGCACTGAAATCATAGGCTCACAGCCTGCTTCTAGGAGAACCCAACCTGAGACAAAGTACCACTGAGTTGCTTCCTTCCCGTATGACTATTTTTGTTGACCCAGCTTAGCCCAGTATTTCTCTAACTCACCTCTAAGATTCTGAAGCTGGCTTCCCCTGTGCCTGAGGTCTTTTCTCTTGGCCTAATATCCTGGCTAGATTTTGGCAGTTCCCCACTCTAGGGGCAATGTCTTTTCAGCCTGCACCTCTGACTCCTAGCTGGATGGATGACTTCAGGATACACAATAGAATCATTCCTGTGACTTATCTGCCCACAGTCCCAAATTCAGTTGCAAACTTCTCCTGAAAGGCTGTTTTTGAATAATGACAGTGACTGGACTCACCTTGCTCTTCTGCATACTATTAATTCCCCTGCCAGTCAATCTCCCTTTTTTTGGTCAAAGTATAGTTGTATGTATATTGATCTCTGGCTTAGTCCCATCTCTTTCTTCCCCTCCACCAGTTCTGTCATTAAATGTAGAGAAGATCATGGAGCCATATAAAAATTTATATATCGGCTGGGCGCAATGGCTCATGCCTGTAATCCCAGCACTTTGGGAGGCCGAGGTGGGCAGATCACCTGAGGTCAGGAGTTCAAGACCAGTCTGGCCAGCATGATGAAACCCAGTCTCTACTAAAAATTCAAAAAAATTAGCCGGACATAGTGGTGGGCACGTGTAATCTCAGCTACTTGGGAGGCTGAGGCACGAGAATCGCTTGAACCCGGGAGGCGAGGTTGCAGTGAGCAACTCCAGCCACTGCACTCCAGCCTGGGTGACAGAGCAAGACTCTGTCTCAAAATAAAAAAAAAAAAAAAATTATATATTATACTAGAAGAATCTAGGCACACTATTTAAAAATTATTTTTAACAATCATGACTTCCTTTAATAGAAAACTATGATTTTTTACACTTTAGAGTATTTTAGCTAACACAGCTGGTTATGTAGCTTAGGTGGCATATATTGTCATAAAGATATGAACATTCCTATCCCATATAACTCAATTCAAGCTATTAACAAGGCTTTCTCAATAAGGATTGAATAGTTAGTCCTATAGTTTCACGGACTCAGATGGCCATTTAAGATCATAGAAAATTTCATTGAGTCATATGGATGCCCATCTAGTCATTGGGCTTTGGTGGGGATTTTAGCTGAAATGCCTGGTCTTTCTTTTTATTTAAATCAAACCACTTAGGATTGTACATTATATCATAGTCCTTGGTCTTCTATGGTCACCCTAATTTGAATAAAGCTAACCGCTGGTCAATAAACACATCTTTACCATGGAGACCTATTTCATTACATACAAATGATTAAATGATAATAAATTCCAAGCTTTTAAATAATATTGTTAATAAGAAAAAGTCCAGTCTGTCTATCCCATAGCAAGACCGGGAAAAGAAAAAGAAAAACATCTGTATGTGTATGTAGTCTGCATGGCACCCCACCCCCATCCCAAACAAGCTCCAGTGTTTCAGCAGGGGTGGGGTGAAAGGGTGAAATGGATAGGAAAAAACAGAAACGTGGATAAAATTATATAAATAACTGTTGTTATTCTTGGATGGTGAAATGCGAATCAACACTTGAATGAATGTTGCCTTACAGAAATTTCAGTGCACAATGAAGCCTTGTTGTTACTCTGAAACTTTGTTCAAAGCCAGAAGCCAAGAAAAAGTTTTCAGATATCTTGACAGAGACCCACGATGGAGTGTTTTACCAAAGGCTCCAAAAGAAACCTCCATGAATGCTATTTTTATTCGGATTATGACATATATATATATATATATGTATATATATATATATATATATATATGCTTAAAGTGGCTTCTGATAACCAAAGTATTCCATTTCATAAGAAAAAAAGGGGTGAGATCAAAATAATAACACTATTACTTAGGGCTTAATTCTCCAAATCCTGATCTGTTTAATGACGCAAAGGTGAGAAACAAGATTTCTTCTTTGTAAGGTACTCATTATCTCTTGAGTGGCACTCAAATATACTTTTTAATATAGAAGTTGTTTTAGCTGTTAGTAATTTAGCATCATAAAAATAGTAACAACTGCTAATGTAAGTTAAACATTATTAAATAACCAATAGTAACACTATTAATCATGAATATTGAGTAATACATAATATTATTTATTATAAGTATTGATAATGCAACATTAAAGATAAAGCCACATAATTCCGTCTTGGGAAACAAAAAAATAACATGACCAGTAGAAGCTACAGCATCAACACAATATGAAAAGAAAGAGATTGAAAGAGGGGCTCATAAATACAGACACTGATACATGGGCCACCAGCCTTTAATTCTGTGGTTCGGAAAACACTTGTGTTGAGAACACAGCCCTGGTAATTTCTTCCTCAATGTGGCTGCTAGAAGAAGGTTCAGGGAATGAATTTTGAGTTCAAATCCCGGTTCAGCCTCTTACTAGTTATGTTACATTGGGAAAATCTTGTATGTTCTAGTATATTTTATCGATTGAGTCAACAATTACTTATTAAGCATCTACTACATGCCAGTGTTTTCAATGTTTAAGATATATAAATAAATAAAACAGTTAAGAATCCCTGCCCATGGTAAGCATAATCAATAAATTACAAAGTGTAGCAGAACATAAGCACTATACAAAGCCAAGAAAAAAGTAGAGCAGATTAAGAGAGATGTGAGTTTTCAGAGACTCAAAATGAAACTTTAAGTATGTATGGTAACCAGCGTTGGCAAAATTGAGAAGCTACCTTGAGAAAGAAATTAGTAGAACTGTGTTTGTGGTTATTTGTTACAACAGCAATAAAAATAACATGAAGGTATTATATTACAGTTCCAAATGTCAGAAGTCTAAAATAAGTCTCACTGGACTAAACTCAAGATATCAATAGGGCTGTATTTCTGGAGAATCTAGGGGAAGCCCTATTCCCTTGTCTTTTCCAGCTTCTAGATACCCCCTGCTTTCCCTGGTTCCTGACCACATCATTCCAACCTCTACATCTGTCATTTCATCTCTTTCTCTGACTCTGACACTCTTGCTTCCCTCTTATAAGGACCCTTTTAATTATATCAAGCCTACTGATAAAAACAGGAAAAATCTTCCCATCTCAAGCCCCTTAAGTTAATCACATCTGCAAAGTCCCTTTTGCCACATAAAGTAACAGGTTCCCGGGATTCACTCATGGACACCTTTATCCTGCCATACTTATCAATGTGAATGATTTCTTAACCAAAAATTTAAGAGGCTATTGTGCCATTTAAGAGGCTACTGTGCCAAGTCCTCCACTGACCTCTCTCCCCTGCCCCCACCCTGTTATCTTGCTCATATTTGCATCTCTACCATCAATTTTTATTGTGGTTTCCCAATATAGACATGTATATCCATTCCTAATGTCAAGACTCAATGGAAGTGAGGCTATTAGTCATGCGTTGATTCTGCGAATGACTGTTACAGACAGAGGGAACAGCCAGTGCAAAGGCTCCGGGGTTCCAGCATGCCTGGCATATTGAAAGAACCGCAGGGAAGCCAGAGTGCAAGAGTGGGTGAGGATGTGAGTGCTACGCAGTGAGGCAGAGGTCATGGAGACCTATTCACATTGAGTCTACTTTAAAGCAGGCCACTTTAATCATGAGAGACCTGAGAAGACAGTGGCAGGCTGATCTGTTTTAGTGTGATATATTCTGGCTGCTGCGATCAATAAATCATTTCTGGGCTTAAGAAAACATGTCACTGGCAAATCATAGAAAGGATAAGTGTCATGATTTACCTTGATCTTAGTCAATGATCAGAAATTACTTTTCTTCTCTTTAAACTGCCTTGGCACTGCACCGAAGGGCCAAATCTTAATTCAGGGTAAATGAACCATCTCCATGGGGATATGGAGAAAGAAAAAGTTCCTGCCCCAAAGCCTCAGGAATCAGTCTACTGAACTGGCTTCATTCCTTGCTTCTTCCAAGAGCAGATGAGAAGTCTCCTTACTCCCTCTCAGTTTCAGGAACCCCCTTGCCATTAATAATGTATACACATACATGTGTTTTGCATATGGACCAAGCAGAGACTACCAAACCTCTGAACTCTTGCTGGGCCCAGATGCCAAGAGACAGGACCCTCCCCCACACTTGGGCAGAGGAAGTAACAAGGGCTGGAAGGAGCCATGCTTTACAGGCTCATTCTCCTCTGGATTTCCTGCCTCCCTTGCCTGCCAAACTTCACTTATGAAAAGCCAGGCTTCACTTTCTATGAGTCAGGTCAGTTGCAGAAAGAAACCGATTTCATATCAGGCTATAACAGATGAGCTTTTGGGGTGTATTTGGCCTCAGGCGGAAGCCTGGACCTCCCGTTAGCATGCTCTGCCTTTAAGAGCTGAATGTGGGCCACTGAGGAACTGACCAGAAGGCACTGGCCTACTCCGAAGTCCACTAGGACAAACAACACCAATGTGCACTCTGAGGGGCTGGGGTACACCCAGCTGCGGGGTGTTTCCCGTGTTCCCTATAACCTGGATGTGTTGCTCATTATTTGATCATCTTCAGACCGGAGATGTGACAAGCTAGGAAGCCGCAGCCAGTTCTATGCACACCGACAGCTGAAAAGAGTCTTTGTTTCATGGCCCGTCACATCATCTGGGAAGGAGCCCAGGAGCAAAAGAAAAGGGGGGAAAGCAAATCAACCTTCCTGCCACTCACTGAGTAGCCCCAGCAGTGAAGAAGCAAGAGGTACCTGCCAGAATTAACAACTGTGTCATCTGCACCCCATCTAAGTAGATGCCTCTGTGAAACATATTTTGGTATCCAGAACAAGAAAGTATGTCTTAAGTTAAAAACAAAACAAAAAACCCTACTGTACTTACTATTGTTGTTACTATTGTTAGTAGTAGTAGTGTTAAGAGATGGAGGAAAAGGAAGAACAAATTCCTTTTCAAATAGCCAAGGGGAAATAATGAGAAATGTTTCCTCTAAGAAGCCTCGATAGTGGGAAACTATTTAGAAAGTCTTTAAAAAAAAAAAAAAGTAGTCAAAATAGAGAAATAATGTAAATACGGGATTCATATTGGGGGAATTTGAATCCATCAGCTTTCTGACGAATTTGGCAAGGAGTAAGACTATGTCAGAGGCTTTTGTTTTTGTTCTCTTTAAACACAGGTTGTTTAGGTAACCCTGAGTCTGGGATATGTGGAACAGTTTTATTGGCCAGTTTGGCAGGGAGAGCACTTTCTTTTTCTGTCATTGGTCTAATCCTGGTGCCACATACAGAAATGATATCCTAAACCAGCCTGGTAGTAACAGGGAGGTAACATCACACAGCTAATTCACACATGGCTCAACAGCAAGATTTTATGCACAGTAGTTTATTCTCACATAGGCACAAACACAGTAAAACTATGTGAAACTTATACAAGACTGCAGCAACTTTCGTGGTGAGATTCACTCCACAGTCACTGAAATAGATATGAAATTCCAGGGGAATATTAATTTGATTTTGGATCTTTTCATTTTTTAATATTTTAGAAGAGTAAACACAGTATGTTTACATGTGGCTTCTTTCGTCTTTTATCTTTTTTCAATTTTGCTAGCCCTAGTTTTTTGTTTTTTTTTTTTTTTCCAAATACAATTCAAACATAGAGTAAGCAAGGGCCTCTGTGGCATGAGATCTGGGAACACAGGAAGACATTCCTCATCATCTTACATATTCTGATGGATGCTGTAGGAGTCCATCATAAAAATGTCCTCCATTAAAACTAAGATTTTGATCCCTTTTAAAATACTTATAGGCCTGAGGTACATTATACATTCATATGAAAAATCCAAGAGCACATTTTGGTGGAAACTGAAGGAAGGAAAATCTGATGGGGAAAAGAGGTGTATAGCTTAAGGAGGTTTGAGTCTTTCCCAGAGACTTCCACTCAGTTTCCAGCTTTGACTCAAGATGATTGTAATCCCAAAATACAACCAGGAAAGAGATAATAATTCACAGCTTGTGGACAGGGTGAATGAATGACCTGATGAAACCTTTATAGTTCAACATCAGATTATGTGATATATTGTTTTTGCTAAGATGAATGATTTGAGTGAATGAATCAATGAATCTTGACCCATGGATGAACCACAGTGAAAGGAATATTGCTGAAAGAAGAAGTAGACAGTGAGGGATCAAAGATGTGGCTTTTTTAAACCTTCATTATTTTCTTTCTTCAATCTTCTTAGCCTTAGCTGTCCCATGTACCATTAAAAATAAAAGGTAAAGGTGGCTCTTTGACTTTAACAAAGAAATAGGGCACCAGGATGATAATAATAAACTGCTGCTTGGGCAAAATTCAGTATCTTCCATCTGTATAGCAATTCATACTTCCCAAAGCCAAAGCCCTTAATGCACTCTGGTCTGAAAATTTATTGGACTTTTATAGAGGCCATTTCTGTTTCTATTGTGTATCTCAAAAAAAGTGATGTCTACAAAAGGGATGTGATTAGCTGAAGATTAACTAGATGTTTAGCAACGTTGCTATCAGTAGAACCCAGACCCTAACATTCCCAGTCAAGATCCCTTTCGCCTCAGCTCGGGGCCCACATGATCATGGTTACCTGAGTTGTGGCGGCAGTTTGAATCTGTTACGCACATCATCCAGACGGTTGCCCAGGTAAGGTGTGTCCACTGTCACAAATATGGCCTTGTAGCCCATCTTCTCTGCCTGCCGCACTAGCTTCTTGGTGACTTCTCGGTCCTTGTAGATATACAGTTGCAGCCAACGAAGTGCCTCAGGACCAGCTTCCGCCACTTCTTCAATTGAGGAGGTGGCCCAGGAACTCAACATCATGCCCGTTCCCAGGGACTGACAGGCTGAGAAAGAAAGGGGATGATCAAGATGGGCCTGGCATTGCTTACCCTCCCAAACCTTTGAATTGTAGTTGGATGAGTAAAGACATCTAGAAGGGCAATTTGGCAATATGAAGTCAAATCTCTTAAAGAGAGAAGAAAGTCTGGCCCATACCATCTATTTCCTGATTCTACCTCCTCTGATACAAATGGCTACTGGAGTTATTTCTGCTCAGTGTTTATTTTCCAATGATTAGAAATATACATTTCTTTCCACACTTTGTATATTGTTCCTGAAGAACAAAATAAATCCAATAGTCAAAGGTGTCTGTAAATACGGGCAAAAAATATTAAGAACCTGAACATCCAGCCTTAGGGGATTGGTTAAATTGTAGGTCATATATAAAATGAAATGAACACACCCATTAAAATTAATATTATTGCTGGGCACAGTGGCTCACGCCTGTAATCCCAGCACTTTGGGAGGCTGAGGCGGGTGGATCACCTGAGGTCAGGAGTTCGAGACCAGCCTGACCAACGTGGTGAAACCCCATCTCTACTAAAAAAACACAAAATTAACCGGGCGTGGTCATGGGCGCCTGTAGTCCCAGCTACTCAGGAGGCTGAGGCAGGAGAATCGCTTGAACCTAGGAGGAAGAGGTTGAAGTGAGCTGAGATTGCAGCATTGCGCTCTAGCCTGGGTGACAAGAGTGAAACTACATCTCAAAAAAAAATAATATTATTATGATAATCAATTTTCTGCATCAATATGCTAAACCATGGTGCCCAGATATTTGGTGAAACATGTCTGAATGCTGCTATGAAGGTGTTTTTTAGATGAGATTAACATTTTAATTAGTAGACTACAGGTAAAGCAGATTATCCCTCATAATGTGAGTGGGTCTTATCTAATCAGCTCAAGGCCTTAAAAATAAGTCTGTGAAGGAGAATAAGAAGAAGGGGAAGGAGAAGAAGAAGGGAAAGGGGAAGGAGAAGGGGAAGAGGAAGGGGAAGTAAGACTGCTAAGAAAAAGAAGAATTCTGCAAGGAGCCTGCCTTCAGACTGGAACTGCAACATCAACATTTCCCTGGTAGCTTGCCCACCTACTCTGCACATTTGAACTTGCAAGCTTCCACAAACACATGAGCCAATTCCTAAAAATGTCTATCTATGGATAGGTGTTTTAGAGATAAAGATAGAGATAGAGAGATAGACTTATGTATGTATCTATCTGTATCTATCGAGAGAGAAAAAGATGAGAAATCTCCAAGGGGGAGATCCTATTAATTCTGTTTCTCTGGAGAACTCTGGGTATTACAATTTTAAAATAATATAGACATAGAAAAATGTTTATGATATATAGATATATTAAGGAAAGAAAAAAGTTTACAAAATGACATGTATTACATGATATCAAATTTGTACAATTCTACTTATTGGTAGATGAATCTAAACAAACTACATGCTAATGATGGGTGGGAGAATTATGGGGTTAGTTTAATTTTTTTCTTCCTTTTTAATTTTAAAATTTTGTCTTTCAAAATTGTATTAAATATATAGTTTACCATTTATGTTGTCTTTTAAAATCTCATAAAATGTGTGTGCTAGATATCCCAAGTAGACACATCCTTTTGAGCAAGGTAGCAGTTACATTTTGGGGGGAAAGGTAGCAAGAAACGGGCAAATAAATGGAAAATTAAATAGAGTCATCTAACTAATAGTTTTAGAGGGTACTTGAGAGAACATGAGTGATAGGTAGGCTTTCTTCCAAAAATTGGTAGTAAAATTGGAGTAAAATTGGAGTCAGCCTTAGTGGAGGAGAAACTGATATAATGTTTATATGCAATATATAAAACAGTCAAATCTGTTATAAAGTATAAATATATTAGAAGTATAAATATATAAAAGTATATTATGTAAAACTCTATTCCTTCAAGTCATTTGACTCATCTGTGTGCCTACCATGCATCAAATGGGTATAAATATACTTGTCCAAATGACACTCACAGGATGTTGATAGGAATCCAGTGAGTTGCTGCTTATAAAGCTATAATGAGAGGTTAAAAAGCTTCCATGATTCTCAAACTTTAGCAGGACAATCCCCTGGAGGGCATGTGAATGAAACACAGATTTCTGGGTCCCACCCACAGAGCTTCTGGTCCAGTAAGTCTGAGATGTGGCCCAAGAGTTTGCATTTCTAACCAGATTAGGCTGATGCTAGATCACACTTTGACATTTAAATAGTACCATAGCCATTAGATAGTAAAGGTCTAAGTTCAAATGAAATAAAATGTATTTTGTTTTTGATAAATGTTAATTTTTCAATGCCTTTGAAGATGTTTTTCATACATGTTCTCCCGGTCAGTGGTTAGCTACAGAAGATCTGAGTTGGAGGTCATCATGTCTATAGATCACTAGTCTGTTCTCCCAAAGAGTTCCTTCTATAGGAATTCATGACTGGCAAAATATTGTCTAAAACCCACATTTTATTAAGTAAGAACACAAATGAACATATAGACCATTGTCTGATTTTCATTAAGATTTGGAAATGTGGAAAATAAATTCAGGTCACTTACTGCTGTTTGAAAGGAACACCAAGGGACATTGATTGCTTGGATCAAAATCCTCCAACAATCAATTCACCTGAAATAAATTATGTCCTGGCCAGGGTTGGTGGCTCTCATCTGTAATCCCAGCACTTTGGGAGGCCAAGGTAGGCAGATCCCTTGAGGTCAGGAGTTCAAGACCAGCCTGATCAACATGATAAAACCCTATCTCTACTGAAAATACAAATATTAGCTGGGCGTAGTGGCGCATGCCTGTAATCCCAGCTACTCAGGCGACTGAAGCACTAGGATTGCTTGAACCCAGGAGGCGGAGATTGCAGTGAGCTGAGATCACACCACTGTACTCCAGCCTGGATGACAGAATGAGACTCCCTGTCAAAAAAAAAAAAAAAAAAAAAGTCCTGAAGAGGATGTTACCTAAGGTCACACAGAAATGAGCAACAAAGTAGGAGAACTCAGCATGGCTGAGCACTCTCCCAGGGCAATGATCTTTCTAGACTCCCTACATGTCTAAATGACTCCCTGGTACCATGCCTAGATAAATGTACTCCCTCAATATTTCAGGGCAGTGACATCCAAGAGAGTAGGTTTGCCATGTGCATGAGAGACACTGCCATGCATTGGGAAGGCATGGAATCTTAGAATCCAGTGGGAAGGTCCTCCGTACACTGGAGGTGCAGAGTGTGGATGCACAAAGGGGTCTGGCAGAGAAAATCACTCAGATGATAGGGCATGTTTTTGTAGTTAATACAAAGACATCATGTAGTCAAGCAGCAGCTCTGCCAATAGGAACATCAAAATCCACAAAAGGATTCCCTTGAACTCATGAGAAATATCTACAGACACTCCACACAGATTACCAAAATGCTGCAAAACACACATAATTTCTACTTCTCTTAAACCATCTGACTTGCAGGAAATGTAAGCCCTTCACAAACATTTTACCCAAATCACTTGGGTATGCATATTTAGAGAGAAGCAAGTTTGGTCCATACCATCTATTTCTTGATTCTACCTTGATACAAGTAACTGCTGGAGTTATTGCTGCTCAGTGATTATTTTCCAATAAGTAAATCATACATGGCTGAAATTTTGAATTGGCATCCCCAAAATTATTCCAAGAGAATGCTCCTGCATGTAGGAGGAATATCAGAGTCTGTGCTAAGGTATTATCATTTGAAGCTAAAATACTAGTCCTAGGAGAAAACAGGAGCAAAACAGCAGGCTCCCTTCTCCCCAGAACAAATATGAGTGATCACTCTGATCTCAATCCACTTGTGACTATTTGCTATGACAAAGGAAAATTATTGATGAATTACATTCATTATTTTTAATACAGTTTTATGTTAGAATGAGCTAAGGGAGCCTGGGAATTTATATGAACCATTCAGAGAGGCAATAAAGAATTTGCCTATTTCTTAAGGACAGATCTGAGATGAAGTTGGTACATACCAGAATGGCAATTATGTTTGTTAAAATATTAAAATACTTACACTCCAATTGGTAAATAGCCACGGCTCTGAAGTTTATCACCCCAGCCCCCGAGTCTCTTCAATATGTCGTTGTGCTTCAATATGTCATCACTTCCTTTTCTCCCCAAGGAATCCCCAGACTTCCTCATAATCCAGCAACTTAAACATCAGTGCCGGCAGAGCGGGGGGCATCCACCCTGTTAGAGCGCTAGAGACCAGCAGCTGAGTATCTCTTCCAATTGCTCAAAGTCCTTTGCTAAATAATTCAAATATTACCTTTGCCTGAGAGACAATGATAAACCCTTTGAGTTCACACTGCTCATTTTGGGGTAATACTTACAAGCTTCAAAATTTTATAAATGGCGTAGCATGGTCAGACTTCATCAAAAAGTTCTGACTATCGTTATCCTAGCCTATGGCTTGAAAGCACAAATGTTTTAAGCCCTTTTACTCACCTTATCCATTGTCCACAATGAAATTCTGACTCCCTGCTCCCAAAGCAGACACTGTCTCATTGCATTTTGCAAAGGACAGGGGTTGGATTTCATTCTTGCTCCCAATGTGTGGCTATGTATTAGACTGTAACGGAAGATTCCAATGATATGTGTTGCAGTTTTAAGATGCCTGGCAAAATGGAGCTCACAGCTGAGGTCATATTAACATAAAGGCAAAACCTGGCTCTTGCCTAGAATGAAGTTCCCTAATGTTGATCCAAATCTAAAAATCTTGGCTTTTGTAATAGACGGTATATCCTAAAGATGAAATACCTAGGAGCCTACACCATCAAGTAACACTGATCTTGTATGAAATCCCAGGACTCTCTTCTCTTACTCACTGACTCTTTCATTGTCCTTAAGACATATCTTCAAAGATAGACACCTACACTTTTAATGTTACAGATATATTCAGACTTTATTCGTATGTTTGGCATTTCTTTCTCTTCTTTAATTAAACAGTGATACACTGTGCCATTGCTATAAGGAAATTGCATATGACACACACACACACACATACAATCACTAAAAGGGACACTGGCCAGGTCTCAGGTATTGAAGCATCAAAGATAAGGCTACCTATATAAACTGGGAGATAAAACTTTCATTTCAGAACAACAACAGGGTAGAATGGATTGAAAGCCTGTCCTAGAGTCCCAGTCTTGCCATCCATGAAGTACGTTCTATCTGCACAATTGCTATAGCCACAGCTGTTCTGCCTACTTCATAGCATTGCAAGATCATCTACTGGGGCAATGTTTCTGAACGTTTTCTGTGTAATCTCTGAAGCCATGCAATTGTAAAGGGTAAGGTGAGAGGACGCCTAATGCATTTGGAAAAATAAGTTCTGGATAGCTTTGTATGTATTTCTAATTTTGCCAAGGACCTGAATTTCTTAATGTCATTATTTGTTAATCTTCTCCACAGCCAGCTTTCCTTTGCAATTATTTTTAATTTATTTATATTTATTTTTAATTGGAAAATAGTAATTGCACATGTTTATGGGGTACAAAGTGATGTTTTGATCTATGTATACATTGCAGACAAATTTAGACAAGCTAATGACCATATTCATCACCTCACCAACTGATAAGGTTTGGCTTTGTGTCCCCACCCAAATCTTATCTCAAATTTTAATCCCACGCATCAAGGCAGGGAACTGTAATCCCCATGTGTTGAGGGAAAGAGGTGATTGGATCATAGGGGTGATTTCCTCCATGCTGTTTTCATGCTAGTGAGTGAGCTCACACGAGATCTGATGGTTTTATAAGGGACTCTTCCCCCTTCACTTCACACACAGGATCTCTTACCTGCCACCATGTAAGACATACCTGCTTTCCCTTTCACCATGATTGTAAGCTTCCTGAGGCCTCCCCAGCCATACAGAACTGTGAGCCAGTAAACCTCTTTTCTTTATAAATTACTTAGTCTCGGGCAGTTCCTTATAGCAGTGTGAAAGTGGACTAATACACCAACTTACCATTTTTTTGTAGGGAGAACATTAAATACCTAATCGTTTAGTAATTTTAAGATATACAATACATTACTATTAACTGTGGACACCATGCAGTACAATAGATCACTAAAACCTATTACTCCAGTCGCACTGAAACTTTGTACAACTTTGATCAATATGTCACTTTCCTCATTCTTTTCCTTCCTCTCCCAGCCTCTGGTAGCCACCTTTTTATGATCTGTTTCTGTGAGACCTACCTTTTTAGATTCCACATATAAGTAAGATCATATAGTATCTGTCTATCCATGTTGTTACAGAATTTCCCACTTTTTAAAGGCTGAATAGTATTCCTTTGTGTACATACACCTCATTCTTTATCCATTCATCTGTCAATGGATACTTAGGTTGATGGCATATCATGACTATTATGAATAATGCTATAACGAACATAGAAGTGCAGATATCTCTTCAACATGCTGATTTCAATTCCTCTCAATAAATATCCAGAAGTAGAATTTCTGGATCATATGGCAATTCTATTTTTAGTTTTTTAAGGAATTGTGTGAAACTAAAATGTTTCTGCACAGCAAAGAAAACAATTAACAGAATCAAGAGACAACACAGGTATTGGGAGAAAATATTTGTAAAGTGTATATCTAATGAGTGCTAATATCCAAAAAAAAAAATAAGGAACTCAAACAACTCAATAGCCAGAAAACAAATAACCCAATTAAAAAATAGGCAAAGGACAGCAAGAGAAACAATCAAAGGAGTAAACAGGCAACCTACAAAATTGGAGAAAATATTTGCATACTATGCATCCAACAAAGGTCTAATATCCAGAATCTTTAAGAAACTTAAACAAATCAACATGACAAAACAGATAACCCCATTAAAAAGTGGGCAAAGGACATTTGCAGATACTTCTCAAACAAAGGCATAAAAGAGGCTGATAAATATATGAAAATGATGCTCATCATCTCTAATCATCAAAGAAATGCAAATCAAAACCACAATGATATACCATCTCATACCAGTCAGAATTACTTTTGTTAAAAAGTCAAAAAATACTATGTTGGTGAGTCTGTGGAGAAAAGAGAAGGCTGATACACTGCTGTAGGGAATGTAAATTAAATAAGCCACTATAGAGAGCAGTTTGGAGATTTCTCAAAGACCTGAGAGTTTTTCTACCATTCGATCCAGCAATCCCACTAACTGGGTATATTCCCAAAGGACAATAAGTCATTCTACCAAAGAGACACGTGCACCTGCATGTTCATCACAGCACTATTCACAATAGCAAAGACATGGAATCAATCCAGGTGCCCACCAATGGTGGATTGAATTTTTAAAATGTGGTACATATCCACCATGGAATACTATGTAGCCATAAAAAATAACAAAATAATGTCCTTTGCACCAACATGGATGCAGCTGGAAATCAATAACCTAAGTGAATTAATGTAGTAACCAAAAACCAAATACCACATGTTGTCACTTATAAATGGAAGCTGAATATTGGATACACATGGTCAAAAAAATGGTAACAATAGATGCTGGGGAATACAACAGTGGGGTTGGGAGGGGGAAAAGGGCTGAAAAAAACTACCTGTTTGGAATTGTGGTCACTACCTAGGTGATGGATTCATTTGCACTCCAAACCTCAGCATCATGCAATATACCTTTGTAACAAACCTGCACATGGCTCCCTGATTCTAAAATAAAAGTTGAAAAAAGAAAAAAAATTGGCAAAGGATCTGAACAGACATTTCTCAAAAGAAGAGATATAAATGGCCAATAGATATATGAAAGAAGCTCAGTATCACTAATTATCAGGGAAATTTAAATTAAAATCATAATGAAGTATCACCTCCAACTGTTAGAATGGTTATTATCAAAAACACCAATGATAACAAGTGTTGGTGAAGATGCAAAGAAAAGGGAACCCTTGTGGAGAAAAGGGAACCCATTGATGTCAGGAATGTAAGTTAGTACAGACATTTTGAAAAACAGTTTGGAGATTCTTCTACAATGATTTTGATGCTCAAGAGACCCATTCCTCTTTTCCCTTGCAAATATAGTGTCCAATGCTCAATACCTTTATGGAGAAAGCTCCTAAAGGAGAGTGGAATCTTCTCCAATTCCAAGAATTCCCTGTGAGGACATATATAGGGAGAGAATATCTAAGGAGATAATTTCTGCATTCCCAAGGTACACATTACTTTGGAGAGCCTGGAACAAATAATCCAAGAAGTGAAACAAGAACATGCTTTTCCCTATCCCCACCCTAACCTGTTCACAAATTTCCATGGGGGGAGCTGCAGAGTGAGTCTAAGGGGCTGGCAGCACTTGCATAGTCCAAACATCAATCAGTAATACTTGGAAGAAAAATTGTAAAGTTCCCAGTGTAAGTTTTTGGTTTCTCTACTCTTCCATTTGCAATGTAACTATAAATATAATGATATAAAAATAAATGAGATTAATATCCTTGTTTACTATCATCCATTCCCCCCACTCCATCTCAAAAAATGGGCTACGGCCAGTGGCATGATTTCTGTTTTATAGAATAAAAGTTAATCTCAGACCCACCCATAATAAAGATTTCTATTAGAGTTAAATCACATGTCCTAGGGTGGAAAAATGCCACAAGGGTCTGCAATAACCTGACATAAGGTAAGTGTAGCTCGACCTTTCTAAACTGCCATTCAATAGAGGGTTGGCTAAATTTCCTATACTATGGAACCTACAATCAATGGCTGAGATTTAAAAGAACTCATCAAGTATGAATGCAGCTACCTCTGGGGACGCTAATCCGGAACTCCAAAGTACAGTGATTTAAATGAGCTAGGACAGGTAAACAGCTTTGGAAAACAGCAAAAACTGGCAGTGTTCTCCCTCTGGCTGGGAAATGCAATTGTTCTTCTAGAGCTTGGCAGAGTTTTGTTTTGTTTGTTTGTCACATCAAGTCTTAATGAAAACATTTATTTCTGATCCAGGTAATCTGGATGTGAAGAAGCAAAAATAGGAAATCCATTGTGTACATAAATTTTAGGGGCCTGCATACTAAGCCTGCCTGTCCCAGGTTTTTATCAAAGACTACTGTGAACACATCTCTTAATTATCTAGAGTCTCCTTGTGACTTCTCACTCATTTCAGGCAGTCATTCTGAACTTAATAGGCTCTCAGAAGACCTTGAGGGTCTTCAGAAGGGAACAATATCCATCTACATCTAATAGTGTCATGTGTGAAGACCTGAACTATGCCTTTGGCTTGGAACCAACAGGAACTTTCATCCCAGGCTCTGATCAGGGCTTCTCAATCTTTGAGGAATCACATGGGTATGTTAACAAAATTCAGATTCTGACTCAGTAGGTCTGTAGTGCGACCTAAGATCTGCATTTCTAACAAGCTCCAGAGTCCTGCTGACGCTGATGTTCCAAGGACCATACTTTGAGAACCATGAGGTAGATATTTTCTTTCAAAAGGACTCATCCAAATTAGTAGAATATGTGTGATGTCCTGAGCAAAGTTGGGGCTCATTGAAAACGGGAGGGAAATATGGAGCAATGGCAGTGAAGTTGGTAGTGGTTGTCCCATGGTTTGCCAATGGCCCGCCATGCCTTGCTGATAAATCTGCCTTTCTTCTAGCCTGGCACCCTCTGGAGAGGGTCACAGGTACATTTGCCACATTTGTTTATGTATTCTTCTCTTATTAGTTTTAAAGCCAAGGAATTAAACTGTGTTCGCATAATGGCCCCTCAGTACACTTAACCATTATCCCATGATTTTGGTTTGGTTTAGTTTGGGTTGTGTTGTTGTTGTTGTTGTTGTTGTTGTTGTTGTTTGTTTGTTTAGCTTGCTTATCTGGGATTTGTCCAGCTTCCTAGATCTCAGATCAGAAGCAGAAGTGAATAATAAATAAAAATAAAATGGTATAAGATGAAGAAGAGAGCGCTTACTCAAAGCTGAGAAAGCACAAGTTATCAATTATAAAATAGTTTCCAAATGTTTAATGTCAAATCCAACAATCTTACACACAGAAATAAGATGATGAACCATCAGGCAAAACTGAAGTTTATCATGCTGGGCTTGATGAGGAAGGGAATTATAATATATTTGAGAATGATGTTCATCCACAGCCACCACCACCACCACAAAACAATAGAGGGAAATAGAAAATATTAGTTATCAATGAGAGTAAATTATTTGGAACATCAATTCATATGGGACTAATCATATACCTAGATTCAAGCAGAACAATTAAGTAACATGTTAATTTAGACCCAAATAATTTCTTTGAAAATAATTCTCTTTTATGGGAAGGCAGAATCAAATTTCCAAATTATGGTTTTAAGGAAAAAGAGGAAAGAGGAAGCAAAAAAGTGTAATATGTTCAAAGGGCCTAAAGTGTTGGGGTTTTCTTAGGTGCATTTGATTAAAAAGCTCCTACAAAACTTAGTCATCAAAACAGCTGCACTGAAAATAATTTTGTTGAGAAAACGCATTTTGTCATCTGCACAGGAAGTCATTACGTAATGGGGAAAATATGCGATGACCAAGTACCAAGCAGTTGTGTGGTTCTAAACTCAGGGCCTGTCATAGTGAAGTGTTTGTATAACTGTGCACCATAATGTCCATTGAGTGTGTCATCCTATCTTCACAGGGGAACTACCATCATAAAGGTCTTCACAGAGGATCTACCATCACATAGACGCAGTCAACATTGTTTTATGAATGTCTAAAATTACAATTGAGATTAACCAGAAAAATAAAGTTCTGAAGTCAGTGATCTAAAAGAACAAACCTTCAACTACAATTATGCTTGAAATACTTAAAAGTTGTCAAACAGATCTTAATTTACAATTTATGGAACTGAACCAATTTAAACACTGCCAAGAAAGACCAAGAAACCAGATTTAATCGTTGCCGTGCTTTCATCATGGCCCATTGAACGAATCCGGAGCTATATAATCTTGAGTGATCACACTGCCACTACACCTCTAGACCTCTTTTTTACTTATGAAAATATTTTCAAGGAACAATTAGTCTCAGGGACATCTTAGCTCTCCCTTCCTTGTTTTCACTGTATTTCTAGGGCAGAACTCTGCAACAGACTAAAACATTAGCTCTACTGCAGTGATTCCTGTGTTATTATTCTGTCATTTTACTGAATTGTCAAGTCCTGGCATAAATGGCAGATCATATGGAGACCATAACACAGTGATAGGCCTTTAAATAATGGTTTTAAGGAGTATTGAGTTTGCACACAACAACTTCAACCAACCTCCCAGTGTTTAACAACTTCAGTGTTGGGATACACATGTGAGCCTCTGACTTTTTTCACT
The DNA here is from genome assembly GCF_000001405.40 of Homo sapiens. Lineage (NCBI taxonomy): Eukaryota > Metazoa > Chordata > Mammalia > Primates > Hominidae > Homo > Homo sapiens. The sequence continues at coordinate 7,925,730 of NC_000020.11, forward strand.
GTCACATTTTAATGTCATCAGGCACATTAATAATTCTGAGAAGAAGCAATCTCATGCTCTCAAGAAAGCCACCCAATAGCTTAAATTTTGGTGCAAAATCGTAGAAATCACTCCATTCGATGACTGTCTTTAATATGGCTAGATTCTAATTTTTTAATAGGTGTTTTAATCAACAATCTTGTTTCATTGCAAAGTGATTTTAACACTGAAGCCACTATTTATATGAAAATACTTTAGCAATGAATTATACATTTTAGTATATGTATATATATCAAATGTCCATAATCTTTTAATACATATATAAGCATATGTAATACGGATGTGTGTTTGTGTGTGTGTGTGTGAGTGCTTACACACAGAAAGAGCATGTCACTGACTTTTTATTGTTAGAAAAGCAAGTCTAAAACATAAAATTTGGTTACACTTTAGAGTGAAACAGACTTAGGTTCAAACCCCATCACCACCATTACTGGCACTAGACCTTGGTCAAGGGCTTCCTTCTTCTCTACTGTCAAACAGAATGAGAATTACTTCACAGGCCTATTGTAAGGATTAATCACAAGAACGTAAAGTCCAAGCATTGCACCTGATACATGACAGGCACTCCACTTCAGAAAGAGTAAAAATGTTCCTTAAAGCAAGTCCAGTGCTTTGCCTGGATTAGGTAAAATTGAGAATAATGGGGATATTTTCCTAGTAGGTATGCTGAAACATATATCTAGTCGGTCGCCTAGCACAACACATAAATATATAAATCAATAAAGCTTTCAAAAAATACATCGTTTGGGTTTAGAGCAAAGGAAATGACAATTCTTCCTGTTGAATGGTCTTTCACTCATTGTTAAGGTTGATCACTTAATCTTGGAAAATCCAGAAAATTCAACAGCTAAAACTCTCACCTACACCCTAATGCAGTCATCTGGGGTCTGTGTGGCTCTTTGTGTTACTCTGCAATCTGTTCCACCTGCATCTTAATAGGTGGTCAAGTCATAGCTGAGTCCCAAAACTTCACTTTGGAATGTTCTGGCCTTTTAGGCTCAAAAAGAAAGTGTTTAGATTTAATGGTTTTATGGCCCATCAAATCCAGTGTGGTAGCCTCTAATTGCATCCAGGGGCTGGAATTTCTTTTAAAACTTTTTTTTTTTTTGACAGTTTAATAAGAATTTGCTAATATGCTGAACATTCCTGGAACGCATTAGGTAGGTTTTAATTTTTCTTGATATGAGGTCCCAGCACTCCCTCATGTGGCACTTGCCCACATAACAAGTCAGAAGCAAAAGGATAAATGAATATTTAATCCTTCTTTTCTCTTTCTTTTTGATTTCTCATGTTTAAAGGGAGAAAAAAAATCTCAAGTAGCTCCATGAAAGATGAAGGAAAATTTTATTATAGCTACTGTGCATAAAACCTGAGAGGTTTCCATGGCAATGTTCTTAAAGCACCAAATGGTATAGTAAGCATTTTATTAATTGGATATTTGAGAAGTCAGAGATGTTCTACTTATCCTGGAAGACTAAAATTTAGCCTAATGATACCACCTATTTTATATGTGTTAGCATTTATGTTTATTATTGCTATTTCCTTCCATATGTTAAATATTCATAGAAATAATTTTGTATCCTTCTTTAAAGAATATAAAGAAAAAAATTCAAAAAAATAAATAAAAATGATCTGCTAGAGTTTCAAACGGATGTGCCATTATAAGTAGAGGCACTTATAAAACAGCTTAAATATTATAAGATTTACAACTATTAAAATGTTGATTAAGTAATCCATTGAATCAAATTTTTTATTCGTAACACAGTGCATGAAAAACTGCCCTCCATTCAGTATTTTTCAGTTATTTTTTTCCACTTTAAAAGACTTCTTAGAATTTTATCTTTTGTTTGATTGTAATTCATGACCCATTGTTTATGCTCCCAAATTTTGCAAAAAGCGAATGATTTCCCAATTAATTTCACTTCTGTGGCTTATTTTATCTTCTCAAAGTTAAAAAGATAAAACAATAAAACATAGGATGTTTGCAATAAATATTTTAAGATGATAGCATAGTGCTTGCCTTAGGATTCTTGCTACAGTTAATGACGTTTGGAAATACCAGTAACAGAGCAGGATATTATAGGTAGCACTGCCTAAGTGATTAATAATCTGAGCAAAGCATTAACCTCTCTAAGCCTCGATTTCCACACCCACAGGAGTTGGAGAAAGTTTCTCAGGGTTTTGCACTCACATATTTTAAGATGGTGGTAAAGATAGATGAATAAATAATAAAGTCAAATTGCGTGGCACATACTAATTGCTGTATAAATGCTGGTGATCATCATTTTTCACAAGACTTTGAAGTATCACTTTCTGAGTTTATGCAACATTTATTAAAGACGTTTGTGTTTTTAGCAATAGTCAGAGATAGTTACATATCTTGTTCCTCTCCTATAGACCAAGAATGTACTTTGAAAAATGGAAATTAAAAGCATTCAAATGCTCACTGCCTCATCTAAACCCTCCAAGGCTGACATAGTGCAGTCGAAAGAAGTGGGCTGACATAAAGTGCGTCTAAACCCTCCAGGGCTGACATAAAGTGTAGATTTCAGTAGAGTAAGAAAAGGTAGCTCTATACTTTGAATTGTTTCTTTTTGCATTTGATAAAATTTTAAATGGGATCAAAATCATTTATTTATATACTGAAAAAAATTGCAAAGATCATCCACTTCTATGCCAGTTTTCTGGGTTTTTGTTTTTGGAGATTTTTGTTGTGAAAGTTTTTTCTTTTTTTTTTTTTTGTCTTTCCAGCAGAACTATTTAAAGAACTTTTCTTTTGAACACCAAAATGCAACACAAGTAGCTCATGCTCAGTATCACACCTAAGTTCTGTAAGATCCCTGGAAACAACCCCAGCCTCCTTGGGACGTGGCATTCAATCCACTGGTCTTGCTCAAGTAGCTCACTTTATCAATGAAGAAACATAATCCTAGAAAGTGAAAATGACCTGCCACAGAAATAAAACTAGTTCTCGGTAAATTTCCACATAAATCAGATGTCCCAGATGTACAGCCTAGGGGACACTTGTAGCCCACAAAAGTATTTACTTTGGCCCACACATTGTTGCCCCAAACAGTGTTTTAGGGAATTTTGATTTATTTGCCCACATTTAAAAACCAGGAGATTGTACATAGAAATCAAGATTTCTGGCTTCTTAAAATTTTGGAAGATTTGGCAACCCCACATCCCTGCTCCCTTGGGTCATCAAGAGCTAAGATGTGGCTGCCCCCTTCTGATGGAACATGCAATCTCAGACTCACTGCAGTCTCCACACAGGAGCTTGCACTGTTTTTTGTTTGTTTGTTTGTTTGTTTGTTTGTTTGTTTGTTTCAATTTCATCTTTTTTGGACATTTACATTACAAGCCTGGCTCCTAAAAGTACCTTTTTTTCCCTGAGGTTTCTGCATAAAGCTTAAAATAAAAATATTTTTCACAAAGAAAAAGAACAATTTTTATTTCCACTAGATGTAAATGGAATATACTTTTCTGAAAGTGAGTTTTTGTGTGTGAAAGATAAAGATTTCAGAGACTTTGGGCTCTGAGGGGCAAATAAAGATAGTGTGTAAGCATTTCTAGCATTTATTTCATGAATCCTCACAAGAAATCCTCAGGTGAGAGCTCTTATTCATCCAGGGTTGCCAGATTGAGCAAACATACAGGACACCTATGATTTGTTGTTTATCTGAAATTCAAACATAATGGGCCCTCTGTGTTTTATTTGATAACCTTGTATTCATCATCATTTTGAAAATGAAAAAAGTATAGCTTCATTGGTCACTCTACAAACATGCAGCAGTGTAAAAAAGTAGAGTTCAGACAGGGCGCGGTGGCTCACGCATGTAATCCCAGCACTTTGGGAGGCCAAGGCAGGCAGATCATGAGGTCAGGAGATCAAGACCATCCTGGCCAACATGGTGAAACCCTGTCTATACTAAAATACAAAAAATTAGCCAGCCGTCGCGGTGCGTGCCTATAGTCCTAGCTACCCAGGAGGCTGAGGCAGGGGAATCGCTTGAACCTGGGAGGCAGAGGTTGCAGTGAGCTGAGATAGTGCCACTGCACTCCAGTCTGGTGACAGAGCAAGACTCTGTCTCAAAAAAATAAGAGTCGAGCTCAGTTCTCGGTCCCAGTTAATAAGGTGGATTATTATTATTCCACAGTTGTGAGAGGAAGGGCAGAAAGGCCCTTGAAGTTGGACTCTGAATAAATCTGGAGAGTCAACGGGGAAAATGAGACTATGGCACCATAGCAATTCCCAGAACTTTCTGGAGGCCCATTCTAATTACTCAGGCCAGACCATTGCCTGTGGGCACCAATGGGTTTCACTTACTCTCACTGACCCTGCTGAGGGGGACACTTCTCCAGGGAGATTGATAACTAACCCGTTTTCTGAACCTGGCCCCAACTTCTCTTCCTTGCTAGGGTCTAAGTCCCTGGAGACAGGAATGCTTAGCGGCCAGATATTTAGGAGGGTAACAAAAAAAAAAATACTCCACAACAAATTGCATAGATTTCCCAATATTCCCAAGGACTGGCTTGCTTGAGAGGATTTCCATATTCTTTCTGGGAATGATGGAATAAATACAATAATAACTTCATAATTCCATGTGAATTTTCTGAGTTTTTATAAATAAATCTCTGCCAAGTATGAATATTCTTACACTGTTACTTAAATTTGCCTGTGGCTATCTATAGCCTTCAGTTAGCTATTATCCTGGTTTGCATACTTCAAGAAGCCAAAAATGACACAGAGATGTGAGAGCAAGTCATCTTATTTGGAAACAATCTCAATGAATTGAAGGAATGGGGAAGTGAGAAAAGAATGGGAAGGAAGCCAATAAAAGAGGGTGTGTTCATGGGCAGGCAACCTCAGGGGGCAACTGGGACTCAATCCTTCCAAGGAACACTGGGTGACCATATTAGAAAATGCTTCAGTTACCTGAGCAAAGAGAGCTGAGGTATTTATCCACCTACTGCTGTACATCATTAGCTAGGGAACCCTCTCTCCCATTCCCCTACTTCAAACACACCTATCCATGGGCTCATGTTGCAACAGATAATGTCAGGCAAAAAGTGGTAGGTCTGATGGAAATGGGAAGTAAGAAGGGAATACATGCAGAGCACAAGCACCATCTACTCCAGCCATTCATCCTTTCCTTGCAAGTAACCCACTGTCCCACAACATAAACACACCAGCCAAAGAACACCTGCTATGAGCTGATGACCATCAGCTTTCTGGATACACCTAAATATTAAATAGACTAATAACCTATAGATAGTCTTTAAAACATAGGTGAAAACTTAGAAACCCTGGAGAGAGGTTTCTAGTATAAATACAGAATAGAAACTCTGATGTTGCTGCCCTGATAGGAACCCAATGGAGGACCCTATGTTTTTGAGGGCAACATGTGTACACTTCCATTGCCTTCTCCAATTCCTCTGCAATCTCGATGTCACCACCCTCTCTTTGTTCTGCTGGATCCACCTTATCCAAATGTCTATTGTGTAACTTATCTTCCTGAGGGGTCTGCTTTGCATGCTCCTAAAACTATAATTACTTCTAGGGGATCATAATGGGCTTCTCCTCATGACACTTCATAGGAGTTTCTGAAATTAAAGCTCTTGCAAAGTGGTGAGGAGCCCAGATTCTGGAGACAGAATACCTCTGTCTGAATCCCATCTCTATCACTTATGAATTGTGCATCCCTAGGCAAGGTTATTCACCTGGCGTGTACCTCAGTTTCTCCTGTGTAAAATAGGTTTAATAATATGATCGATTTATTTGGGCCGCTCTGAGCCTTCAATGCTATAATACTCGTAATATACTTAAAATAGTGTCTGGAACATGATAATTGCTTTATAAGTGTTAAATAAATCTAAGGGGATAAGACTGTAATAGGCATTTAATATCTTCTTATGGTTACTTCTGGAGGAAATAGTCCTACTTACACTGTCAAATCATAGTTTCTAAGGAAGCTTTCTTTTCTTCTTTCTTCTCCTCTTTCTTCTCAGCCCAACTCCACCAAGAATAAAGACTGGTCTTGGAACCATCAAATGTGACTTGGAGAATAAGTCTGTCATTGACGAGCTATGAAAAACTGTTTTCTCTGGAACTTTAGCTACTTGCCCACAAAACAGGGACAGAAACACCTGTCAAATATCAAATAAAGCAATATGTGTTGGTATGGTTAGGCTTTGTTTCTCCATCCAAATCTCATCTTGAATTATAATCCCAGGTGTTGAGGGAAAGACCTAGTGGGAGGTGATTGGATCATGGGGGTGGTTTCCCCCATGCTGTTCTCATGATAGTGGGTGAGTTCTCATGAGATCAGATGGTTTTATAAGTATCTGGCATTTCCCTGCTTGCACTTCTCTCTCCTGCCACCATGGGAAGAAGGTCGTTCCTTCCCCTTTGCCTTCCACCATGATTGTAAGTTTCCTGAGGCCTCCCCAGCCATGTAGAACTGTGAGTCAGTTAAACCTCTTTCCTTAATAAATTACCCAGTCTCGAAGAGTATCTTTAAATCAGTGTGAGAAGGAACTAATACATGTGGTAAAAATAATTTGCTGGCTCCAGGGTGCCTTACCAAGTGAGCTCTGCTTTTTGCTTTCTCTGCTTCCTTTCTTTATTTCCATTCTCTTCATGGTCCCTTGTCCCTTTATCTCTACTCTTTTAAATCTAATTGTTATCATTTCCTCCTTACAAAATAATTCAAAGAAGAGTTTATAAGGTTGAGCCAAAAATCAGAAGAGTATAAAGTCAGGAGTAATCTCATCACTTATAAATAAACATTTGTAAATTGTGATCTTTGAAACTAAATGTATTTTAGGACCTGACTATTGTTTGCAACTGATTTCTCACAATTTTAAATTAAAATATCATTCTACATTATTGCACTCTTCCTATAGTATAATTTTTAAATTTGATGTCATTTTTATGCATCATATTTTTTGCAAACTATCTCCAATTATAAGATGTTTGGGTATTTTTTTCAAATTATTTTCCTGCTAAAAATAAGAAGCATGAAAATCCTTGCAGAAATGATTTTTTTCCTCAAAAATCATAATTATTTCCTTGGAATTCCTAGAAGAGAATTTTTAACATCACATGGAATTTACATTTTTAGAGCTTTGATATACAGTGCCAGATTATTTTCTAGGAAGATTATTCCACTTTATACTTTTCTCAACACTGTTTGAAATGCACATTTTCTCCCTAACCTAATCATACTGCCTGATCTTAAAATAAAAATTCGATATACGGAAAATAAAATAGATGGTCATAATTTCCATGTCTTTGCTTATTAATGAAATTGAATATTTTTCATATGTTTATTGGTCACTTTTATGTCTCCATTTGTAAATTTCCTATTTATATCTTTTGTTCACTTATTTCTCTTTTTCCCTTTGAGCAATATATTATTTTCTTCTTCAAATATAAGGGCTTTTTACGTGGAAAGGACATTAACCCTTCACAGTCTCATATTTTTTTTCCATTTCTTTCAGTTTACCATTTACTTTTTATTTTCATTGAGATTTAAGAGCACTAAAGTTTTAGTTTTTTGATGTTCATTTGTTTTCTTTTGTTCTAAGGTTGTTGCCTATAGTTTCAAGCCTGAAAGGGCCTTTATTATCTTGATTTTGTATAGATATTTACCCATTTAGTATTTCCCTTTTTTTTTCTTCTCTCTACTTATGTTTCAGGATTACCATAGACAAAAGGCTGAGGCCCCAAAGCCACTTATTTGTATGTGGTCCTAGAATTAAGGAAGCTGCTAAGTCTGTCCAGCAAAACCTCATTGTGCCATTCTGATATCCCTGACAGAATTTTATGTCAGACATTTCAAGAAGGGAAGTGAATTCACAAGATCCTTAATTCTTAAAACTAAAATGTTTTAAAATATTATATAGTCGTGTTCTTTTTCTGCTCTGCTTAGCATCAAAATAATTCATTTCCAACTTTTATATTAGTTTCTGGAGCACAATTTGGGGAGATTTTTTACTCTGCACAGCCTTTCAAATGTTCACAGTTGCTAGAGAACTGGAAAGTTAATAAATTAGCCCTAATAAGAGATTTCTTTACATCATATTTGATTTTCTCATCACTCCCTCCTAAGACAGCTGGAACTGCTCTATTGGGAATATAACTCATCCATAAAAAAGAATCATGACCCAAAACCACGGAAGAAAACACAACCAACCACGTTGCTCCATTTGCAATTTGGCTGTGAGAACCACTTTGGTTTGGGGGAAGCAGGAGGGTTTTGAGATAAGGTAGCCACAGGGCTGAATTCCAATTCTGTAACTACCTAGCTGTGACTTTGGGCAAGTCTACCTGTCAGAGATCCATTTCCTGAGACAGTACTATTAATACCCATAATATAACCAACAGTTACTGAGCCCCTACTCTCTGCCATGAACTTTGTATACCTGAACTCATTCAATTCTCACCATAACCCAATGAGGCAGGTACAATTTTTGTCCCTATTTTACAGCCAAGGAAACCAATGCAGAGAGAGGATATCTTGCCCAGTCACACAGCTGGAAAGAAGAGGAGCAGGACATGCAAGAACAAGTATTTTGATGATAGAGTCCATGAGCTTAATGTTTCTGAGTGTAAAAACATCAAGGAACATATTTGCTTGGTGCATTCAGAGAAGGAGGTCGATAAACGTTAGCCTCCTTCTGTCCCTGTGGTGACAATCTTCCTCCTACCTCTCACAGTGGCAAGCTCGCCGTCCACATGAGCCATGCGCTGCATGGCCGTAGCCCCCACACATATTGGCATGCTGACCCTCTGTCCTAAAACAGAAGTCGACAGATCTGTTTCAGCAACATTCCGGAGCATCCTTGGATACAGCTTCCATCTAGAATTAAAAAATAAAATAAAATAAAAGGCTTTAGAGTTTCAGAATCATAACCAAAACTTTGACATTACATTTTAGTTAAAAGAAAAAATATAATTGGATTTTTTCCAAACAAGCAAATGACTTCATAAAGCTAATGGAAAAGAGGCAATTTTACTGTTTGTTTGGTTAGAAAGTTAACAATTAGAGGATAATGAATTTCCCAAGCAATTATTTATTAAAGTATAACTAATACATAATAGTATTCACTCATTTTAGTCTGCAGTTTTGTGAATTTTGACAAATGCATACAGTGGTGTAACTGCCATGACAATCAAGATCTAGAAAAAGTTCAATCATTCCCAAAAAAGTCCCCATTTTCTTTTGCAGAGAAACTCTCCCCAGTTCAATCCCCTGACAACCACTGATGCATTTTTTCTTTGTCCTGATAATTTTGCTTTGCAAGAATATCATGTAAACAAAATCATTCAGTATGTAGCCTTTTGAGTTTGGCTTCTTTCACTTAACATAACGCATTAGAGATTTTCTCATGTTGTTGTACGTGTCAATAGTTTGTTCCTTTTGGTTGATGAATAATATTCCATCATACAGGGGTACTATCATTTGTCCAGTCATTCCCAAGCTAAAAGACATTTTGAATACTTACAGTTTGGGGGGAAATTCTAAATAAAGCCACTACAAACATTCACGTACAGGTTCTTGTGTGAACATAGTTTTCGTTTCACTTCCCCAATCTTGAAAATCAAGATGGTATACAAATGCATAGAGTTTAGATTAGAGTTTAAGAAGATATGCTATGTCTAGTTTGTCTTCTTTTTATGTGATAAACAGCAGCTTCAGGCAATTACTTTTAAAATTATAATTTGGTTTCTTCAAAATTATTTAGTTATATGCCATATTCATTAAAGTCTAATGATGAGGGAAGGTTTTTTATTAGTTTAATTTAACACTTTTCTCAAAAATGTTATTTGACAAAAACTGAAATTTGGGTGTTAAAAAGTTTTTGACTCCGGAAAATTATTTTAAATGAATGTTTCTGTGATTCTTCTGTGTTGGAATGAAAATTACCAATAAACCAGCAACCAAAAATTCACCAGTAAAATTTACAGAAGAACTAGTTCTCTTTCCTCCTGGCAAAATATATCTCTCCTATTTGTTTTGATTTATTATTCTCATTAGTACTGATTAAAATTGAAGAAAATACAGCCCTATTTCTAGTATGCATGAGTATAATAAACGTGTTGTTTAGGCACACATGCATATCTAACCAGCATTCACCTAGTATTTCCTAGATGTAACTCTACTTCCAGAAACAGCATGACTTTTTAGTAAATATAGTGAAGTATGATATAGTAATGCAGTAACTTAAAGAAAAAAAAAGAAGAAAAAGAAAAAGCCCTTAATCGAAGCGTGCTTCCTGTAGCGGAAGAAGAAATTCTGCCTTCTATTGCTTTGTGGAATAGCTAAGGGTCTGTAATCTAACCCTTCCTCACATAATAAAGTAAAAACATCCAGTCCCTGAAAAGCATAATAAAGAAGTTTTACTGTGTGATTTCTATGCTATTCCTTTGAACATTATAATTGTCATTATTTTATGCCACACCACATGCTCTGTTGCTGAAAGTCTTTTCTTCTTGACGGACCCTCACAGCATGATTCTTTGATCTCCATTTTGAAGGGGGAGAAGCAGAAGCCTTGAAGAGAGTTTTTATTACCAATCATCTCTAAGTGTGTTATTAGAATGAGAGAAAACGATCTTAATAGCAGCCATTGGCATGCCAGCCTTGGAAGGCATTAATATTTACTTAGAGCTAGAGAAACAATGAAAGCTTTATGACAAGAACAAGCAAATCTGCAGGGCAGCAGCCGTGTGTGTGTGTGTGTGTGTGTGTGTGTGTGTGTGTGTGTGTGTTCGCGCGCGCGCGCGCGCGTGCGTGCCAAAAGGGACATTTTTAAAGGTCAAATTCCCATTTATAAAGCAAAGCTGAATCCTTCCATCTCCAGACAGTGGCTTTACACTTGTCCACTTGGTGGCGCAGTCACTTTAGTAACTGCGGGCTCTTAATTTCCCTTAAACAGTATTTTCTGTTCTGAGGATAATACAGAGGCTTGTCAACCAATGCACAAAACGTAATTGCTACGTAAAATTAGATAAAATCAATGGAATGGGAACAGGCATGTTATCTAAAGAGTCCTCCATGTTTTGATATTTTTCAAATAGTAGTAACAACTATGTCAGATAGCTCACTAGCTTTCCAAGCCTTGCCCAACCCCACTCCAAATTTAAGTAAATTTCCCACAATCATACATAAAATAGCACCTCACTATATTCTCGGACTGTGCTTTCCTGGGCCTCCACTTTGGAAAAAGAATTGGTTCAACTGGCAAACAGTTGAACCAATTGAATAATAAACCGTTTTCAAAGGATAGAAAATGAGATGCCAGAGTAAAGGAAGCGGGGTAACGGGGAGAATCTGTTCACAGGAATTTTGGCCCACCCTCACATCTAACAGGGGCCTCAAATTTAACTTATAAAAAAATCAAATGATATATACACTCCTCACAAAGTAGCTGCCCTGTTGAAGGAAGACACCCATGCCTCACCCAGCTTTATAACTGCATGCTGTTTCTGAATCACACTAACTGGACATAGTGGATTCATGTTTTGTAAGTTGTGTAATCCTATAATACTGCATTCCAATTTTCTCCACATTAATTTTTTACTCTAAACAGTTAAAATATATAAAGCAAAAACACCTTATTCACCTATTGTGGATACTAGATAAATTATTTTGTGACATTTATGCCTATGAGAACACAATGTCACTGGTAACTTCATATCACTTCTCAAATATTAAAGTGAAAGAATGACATCACTTTTACCCATCTGTTATTTAAAAGAAAATGATGCCATCTTCAGTCTCAATAGGTAACGCAGCAGAAAAGAGTTTCCTTTTCTGAAATCATGAGGGCTTCTAAGTGTCGAAATTGTTTAATCATCTTCCATCATTGATAATTTCAGAAAAAAAAGCTACAACAACGTGAAGACCATAGTTGAGAAGGCTACTTTGAATAAATGTGTAAGAGAAACAAATTACTGTTCTTCGTTGAATTAATCCCAATCAATTCCAGCCATGCAAAATGTAGCAAGTTGACATTTACCCTGTTTTGTTATAACCACCGTAAGAAATTTTGTTCTGGGTGGTTCCATTTACTTGTCCTTTTAAACATTTTTTTCTACTGCCACAGTAATATTAGTCTGAAGTCTTACCCAAAAATATCTCCAAGCAACTGCTGGGTCACATGAGTGGTCCATGTCCCCAGAACTCCAAAATGTGATTATCAGAGCTGAGTACAGAGAAATAAAAGCTGTCACGGTGAATGACCTTTTGTTGTACTTGCGAGATGGGGAGGTGTATAAATTTCATAAATGTGTTTGAAATACTCTGGCTTTGTATCACAATGGGTTATCTGAGGTTTGATTGTTTTGCACTTTTCATTAGAATCAGAATGTGAAATTTCAGGTTGATTTCCTTCATGCCATCAACCCAAAGTCTCCACAACCCTGGCAGAATTTCTATTCTTAGTTTCACGTGACCAGCTACATGATGCAGTGTGAGGAATCAAGGTTCACCTAGCGAGTCATACAGCAAAAGAGGACACATTGCAAAATGTATTGCAATAAAAACTCAACTAGTTGATAATAAAATAGCATCAGCTGTCCTCCAAAGAAAGTTGATTGATTTTTTTTTTTAATTTAAAGCTGAACAAAAGAGAATGATCAAGGTTCATGGAAAAGGTGACACTGCAAATTCATTTTCATTATCTGTGTCCTATCCCTAAGTTACTCGGTACACACATAGGATGGGAATACTCACTTGAATACCATGTAATTCACATAAGGCATGAGGCACTTTTCCAGTTCATAACTTAGAAGTCACCAAGCCTTCTATGTCTCCCAAAGTTTCTACATTTTAAAGGGTTGCATAGGTGATCCATCTGCTTTGGGGCGCCCCTTTGCATCCTCTCTGAGACCTCCACTTGGCCAACTATTTTGGGCCCATTTTGCATCAATTCAACCCAACAGCATTATGGAGGCTGATATGCATCCAGGGGAATGTAAGTTCCTAGGGACAGGAACTTTGTCTGGCTCACTGCTTTGTCCTCAGCATGTAGTACACAGTGTAGCTCATGGAGACTCCTAATTAGCTCTAGTTAATTAGCTAGCATGCGACAAAGGGAATTAAGAAGTAAGGAAAGCTGTATACAAATGAAATAAATAATCACTTGAGCATTGGAGGTCTAGCAATGCTGAGACACTAACTCTATAAATCTGTCAAGGGTCTGAAATTTCCTTGGTTGTAATAACCTATTTGGGTTAAAGTGTTTTCAAGAGACCACTCATAGGCAAATTTTGGTGGACAAAGTTAATATCGGCCCAAGAAGGGGCATCTTCCAAGAGCAGAAACTTTTAAATGAGTCCAAAATAGTAAATAATGATGCAGAATTTTAAGCCCCTCTACTCTCAGTCAACTTCCCTTCCCATGACTTCCCTGGCATTTGTTGAGCTCATTTGGGTTCCAGGCAAAACCTGAGACAAAGTCAAGGCTTGAAAGGGTTGGGGAGAGGCCGTATCCTTCACCCCATTGCCATTTTCAGTCTTCTACATGGATTTGTGGGTGAATCAGTGCTGCCTACCAGAGACCACCTTGGCCAGGATAATTTTATTTCTCCTAATTTAAATATGGAAAACTGATTTTGAGTGATTTTGTTGTAGACTAAAGAAGAAATCAGGGAGGAAGGCTAATTCTCTCCCCCTGCATATTTTCTGCCTTTTTGTCTTTATCACCATCAATGAGTACCCACAATACCGATTGCCTTTACTAACAGCCATAATGTTAGATGGATGAGACTGAGTGTAGTGTAGTGAAGGCACTCCTCTCTTGCTCCAGCAAATAAACCATTTTTGTAACTGCTATAAAAAAAAACCCTTTGAAATGATTTTATTTCTTGTTTTTATTACAAACAGAAAACATAAACCATGTCACCCACCATCTTGTGCTTTGAAATATGAAAGTCAAAGGAAAACTAATTTGGGAAGAGAGATGAAGTGCTTTGAAGGAGAGATGAAACAGCAAAGTTGAAAGATTAATGCTGCATAGACAAATTGAAATCTAAAGTGAAAGTTTAGACAACAGTAATCAAAATGAATGATAACACGAAAAGCCAGCAGGAAGAAAACATTTGAGCCAACAATCCAGTCTGGTTCATCCGGATAAGATGGTTATCTGGCATTTAATGCTGTTTCCTACACCATGAACATAAGCATTTACTGTCATACTAAGAAAAAGAAAAGTCATCCGAATTTATCGCTATTTTTACATGTAGTTAAATTAATTGTTGTCATATTTCCAAGTGAAGTAACATAGGTTTGGCTTTTGCAGTCAGTTCCTCAAGATTCACAGGCTTGGAATATTTTTTAACAATTTAAAGGCCCAAGATTTCTTACAGCCCCAAGAACTTTTCCCTCTCTACTAAGCACAAATCTGAACAAATAATTACACACCACCAACGTAAAACTAGGAGATCTTATTTTGGTACGGTCTTTGTGTAATTTTAAAACATGATTTTAAAAAATAAATTTTCTTACCTGGAAAATGCTGCAATATTATCAGCCAAAGTTTCTTCATCATTTGCCCCAGACCTGTAATAGTCATATATAGACTTTGGAAGTACTGATTTAGCATGTTGTTCATAATCATTGATACAAATTAGCCGGGGGAGCATTTTCACAGGTTATTGCTATCCCAGATGGAGTTCGTTGTTTTTTTTTTTTTAATGTATTGCTTTCTACATCCTCACTGTTCTGTTATTTGTCAATTATTAATAGACTTTTGCCAAAGTTCAGATTTAGTTCTCTGTTGCTTACATCAAGTGAGCAAACATTATATGCTTAGCCTTTGAAATTTCATTTGTAGGCTATCTGCCAAAGAACACCGAAGTCACTATCTGCCAAAGAACACCAAAGTTGAGGTTGGGAAGGCAGCAGAAGGTGATTAGGTGTCTATCACATTAAAAAGGGGAAAGGAATAAGTAAAAAATTAAAGACTTAGAGGAATACCTGTATGAAACCACTCTTGGTTCAGTTTTGCCTAAGGCTGCTTATTGCACATGGTCTGTGCCTGTGCTCTTTGCTTGATACCCAGAATAGGCTGCCCACTCATTTTCTTTCCACATTTGGATCATGCACAAATCATGTAAACAAGAGCTTATGAACTGAACGGGGCATCCATGAAATATGGGGCATCCGTGAAATTCAGGGCTTCTGCACAATATAAAATTTAGCTGATTACAAACATAGACATTTGGCTTTAACATGGAACATTAAGGCCAAATTGACAGCTAATTGTTTTATTCATTCTGTATATTTGAGGTTTACAACATGATATTATGAGATACATATACACAGAAAAATGGTTACAGTAGGGAGGCCAATATAATATATGTATCATCTCACCCGTAATTACTTTTTTGTGTGTATGACAAGAACAGCTAAAATCAACTTATTTAACAAAAATTCCTAATATGATACAATTTTATTAACTTTAGTCCTCATTTTGCACGTTTGCTCTCTAGACCAGGGGTCCCAAACTCCCCAGCATGGACTGGTACTGGTCCGTGGCCTGTTAGGAACCAAGCTGCACAGCAGGAGGTGAGCAGCCGGTGAGCAAGCTTTACAGACTGAGCTCCGCCTCCTATTGTGAACTGCACATGCGAGGGATCTAGGTTGCGCCACTCCTTATGAGAATCTAATGCCTGATGATCTGAGGTGGAACAGTTTCATTCCAAAACCATCCACCTACCCCCACTGCCCATGGAAAAATTGTATTCCACAAAACTTGTCCCTGGTGCCGAAAAGGTTAGGGACCCTGTTGTAGATTTATGTATCCTACGTGTCTACTATTTTGTATCCTTTGACCTATATCACCCCTTTTCCTCTTCCCTGCTTCCCACTAGTGGTATTCACTGTTTCATTCTCTAGCTCTGTGCATTTGAAGTCTTTTTTAAAACAAAATCCCACCTATAAGTGAAATAATGCAATAATTTCCCTTTTGTGCCTGGCTTATTTCACTTAGCATAATGTTCTCTGGGTTCTACTGCAAATGACAGGATTCCCTTCTCTTATAAGGCTGAATAATATTTCATTGTGTGTATATCTATACATTTCCCTTATCCATTTGTCTCTTAATGGGCATTTAGGTTTACCATTAATTCTTTTTTTTTTTCTTTTTGAGATGGAGTCTTTCTCTGTCTCCCAGGCTGGAGTGCAGTGGTGTGATCTCGGCTCATTGCAGCCTCTACCTCCCAGGTTCAAGAGATTATTCTGCCTCAGCCTCCCAAGTAACTGGGACTACAGGCATGTCCACCACGCCTGGCTAATTTTTGTATTTTTATTTAGTAAAGATGGGGTTTCACTATATTGGCCAGGCTGGTCTCAAACTCCTGACCTCAAGTGATCCAACCACCTCGGCCTCCCAGAGTGCTGGGATTGCAGGTGTGAGCCACTGCACATGGCCTACCACTAATTCTTAGAGTCTTATCTTGCCCTGGAGAGGGTATAGGGAAGTGCTATTCCAAAAGACCTGTGGTCTCAGTCTATAATTTCACTCAATCATGGAACACCTGGGGAAGATTCACATTAGTAGGATATGCTTGAGAAAGCAATGATTTTAACTACAGTTAGACCTGAGTTTCAATCTAGGAGCCGCCACTTAAAGCTGCTTGCCAGTTGTTCACTATCTACATTCCAACCACCTACACCTGTAGGAGAACTTGCTCTTGAACTTGGAGCCTGCTTTTTTCATAAACATAGCATGCCAAATAGTATAGTTCCATACCCTGTGGAACAGCCCTCAATCACAAGCCCAAGAAAGTTCATTCTTCTGGTGGGATTACTCCTAGGATTATGTTCTACATTGCAGGTTTCAGTTATCCACAGTGTGAGCTGGTTGATAATCTATGCTGTGTTGGCTATGTTCCTTTTTTGTTTGTTTTTTGTTTTGAGATGGAGTCTCACGCCGTCACCAGACTGGAGTGAAGTGGCGCAATCTCGGCTCACTGCAACCTCCGCCTCCCAGGTTCAAGCAATTCTCCTGCCTCAGCCTCCCGAGTAGCTGGGATTACAGGCTCATGCCACCACACCCAGCTGATTTTTGTGTTTTTAGTAGAGATGGGGTTTCACCATGTTGGCCAGGATGGTCTTGATCTCTTGACCTCGTGATCCGCCCAACTCAGCCTCCCAAAGTGCTGGGATTACAGGCATGAGCCACCGTGCCCGGCCTGGCTGCCTTCCCTTCTAATCAGACTTCCCTACTCCTCATTGGTGCTCCCTTCACCTCCCAAATAAACTCCTTGCATTTGAATGCTTGCCTCTCAGTCTCCTTTTGGTGAAACTCAAACCAAGACAAAGAGAAATATTCATCCCTACCCTGAGGAGTGACTGTGAGGACAAAGGATATATCATCGCTTAAACACCTGGCATATAGTAGGCACAGTTGACCTTTGAACAAAAAAAAGGGTCCACTTATATGTAGATTTTCTTTAGATTCTTCCACCCCTGAGACAGCAAAACCAACTTCTCCTCTTCCTCCTGCTCCTTATTCTACACAATGTGAAGATGACAAGGATGAAGAGTTTTGATGTACCACTTACACTTTATGAATAGTAAATATATTTTCCCTTCCTTATGATTTTCTTAATAACATTTTCTTTTTTCTAGCTTGCTTTATTGTAAGAATACAGTATATAACACATGTAACATATAAAATATGTGTAAGTTGATTTTGTTATTGGTAAGGCTTCCAGTCAACAGTAGGCTACTAGTTGTTAAGTTTTGGGGGAGTCGAAAGTTTTACACGGTGGGTCGGTACCTCTAACCCCCATATTGTTCAATGATAAACTGTATTTCATTAATATTACCCACCCTCATCTTCTCAATATACTTTACCAACACATTTTTCCAAAAGACTTTTGTTTAATGTCAATTATATAAGGACAATTCCCTAATGTACGAGAGATTGGACAAAGGGATTCTTGAGCTTCTGGAAGGCCATTGCCATTTTTCTTCAAGTAAGTTAATCCCTTTGAGTATTTCTTTGCTAGATTTGCAATTAGTCCAGTTTATTTTCTACACCCCCAAGAGAAGTGTCTTTCATAACTAATGTATATTTATATTATCAGATCTTTTTGAAAATTGCCTTATCCCATGCTTCATGAGGCTTTATATGGTAGAAAGAATAGGGTGTAAAATCATATCTTACAGTGGGTAAATACCCTTTGAGTTTATTTTGGAGAAGGAAAATCGTCTAAGATGAAGAAGAATACTAAGGGGTTCAGTATGTAATCTGTGACTTAGTTTTGACCTGTGGCCACAGAGTGAACACAAAGCACGGTCACCTGTTATATGAAATTCCCATGCTGTGGGTCACCAAAAGGAGCAGGAGAGAGGATATGGATCAAATCTATTTTTACTACTGACAAAGCAACTAGAAACCAAAGATGCAGGCTCCATAGCAGCCTATTAGGCAAACTGGGAATGAAACCAGAACCAAAAATATAAGCCATTAGGTCTTTCCCAGCTGTAATGATATAGTATATAAAAAATAAAGGGTTTTAATTTAATCGAAGGGTCATATGCTGTTAAAATTGACATAGAATTTTATAGTACATAGGTTTATTCTCAAAGTTCACAAATGCTTACTTTTTGCATCAATGTAGTGACAGATGAAATGACATATTAAAATCGCTATTAGGATGTGAAAAATCTGCCAATAAGATAAGCAAGTTCTAAATAATTCAGTTTCATAGTTAACAAAATTATTATGAAAATGTGGTCAAAGGGATCTTAATTATGGCTTATAACTCATTCAAAATGTAAAGATTAAAGCATGACCTTTTATCTGCATATTTATGTGCAAATTTAGCATTTATTAAAATAATTAGCATCCTGCAACTAATGTGATTAGAATGAAGAGGCAATCTAATATTGTTAATCAGGTCAAGTCCCGGTGAAACTAAAGAAGACACATAAGGGCCATTGGTTCTTAAAGTGTGACTTTGAACCAGCAGCATCAGCATCACCTAGGAAGTCATTAGAAATGCAAGTTCCAGGCGTCATCCTAGTCCTACTGAATCAGAAACTCTACAGCTATTTGTGCTGTAACAAGCCTTCCAGGTGATTTGATGCACAACATTGTTTGAGGACCATGGTTTAGGCGAGATGGAATGTAAAGGGGGACTTTTTTCTTAAGAGGCTTATTCTTTTTTATAATTTCAACTTTTATATTAGATACCAAGGCACATATGCAGCTTTGTTACCTGGGGATATGGAATGACGCTGAGGTTTGGGGTACAAATCCTGTCACCTAGGTAGTGATCACAGTACTCAATAGGTAGTTTTTCAATCCATGCTCCCTTCCCTCCCTCCC